>NC_000010.11:79385519-79537034 GCF_000001405.40 Homo sapiens | reverse complement strand
ATGTGTTCTCATTGTTCAATTCCCACCTATGAGTGAGAACATGCGGCGTTTGGTTTTTTGTCCTTGTGATAGTTTACTGAGAATGATGATTTCCAATTTCATCCATGTCCCTACAAAGGACATGAACTCATCATTTTTTATGGCTGCATAGTATTCCATGGTGTATATGTGCCACATTTTCTTAATCCAGTCTATCATTGTTGGACATTTGGGTTGGTTCCAAGTCTTTGCTGTTGTGAATAGTGCCGCAATAAACATACGTGTGCATGTGTCTTTATAGCAGCATGATTTATAGTCCTTTGAGTGTATACCCAGTAATGGGATGGCTGGGTCAAATGGTATTTCTAGTTCTAGATCCCTGAGGAATCGCCACACTGACTTCCACAATGGTTGAACTAGTTTACAGTCCCACCAACAGTGTAAAAGTGTTCCTATTTCTCCACATCCTCTCCAGCACCTGTTGTTTCCTGACTTTTTAATGATCGCCATTCTAACTGGTGTGAGATGGTATCTCATTGTGGTTTTGATTTGCATTTCTCTGATGGCCAGTGATGGTGAGCATTTTTTCATGTGTTTTTTGGCTGCATAAATGTCTTCTTTTGAGAAGTGTCTGTTCATGTCCTTCGCCCACTTTTTGATGGGGTTGTTTGTTTTTTCTTGTAAATTTGTTTGAGTTCATTGTAGATTCTGGATATTAGCCCTTTGTCAGATGAGTAGGTTGCGAAAATTTTCTCCCATTTTGTAGGTTGCCTGTTCACTCTGATGGTAGTTTGTTTTGCTGCGCAGAAGCTCTTTAGTTTAATTAGATCCCATTTGTCAATTTTGGCTTTTGTTGCCATTGCTTTTGGTGTTTTAGACATGAAGTCCTTGCCCATGTCTATGTCCTGAATGGTAATGCCTAAGTTTTCTTCTAGGGTTTTTATGGTTTTAGGTCTAACGTTTAAGTCTTTAATCCATCTTGAAATAATTTTTGTATAAGGTGTAAGGAAGGGATCCAGTTTCAGCTTTCTACATATGGCTAGCCAGTTTTCCCAGCACCATTTATTAAATAGGGAATCCTTTCCCCATTGCTTGTTTTTCTCAGGTTTGTCAAAGATCAAATAGTTGTAGATACGTGGCATTATTTCTGAGGGCTCTGTTCTGTTCCATTGATCTATATCTCTGTTTCGGTACCAGTACCACGCTGTTTTGGTTACTGTAGCCTTGTAGTATAGTTTGAAGTCAGGTAGCATGATGCCTCCAGCTTTGTTCTTTTGGCTTAGGATTGACTTGGCGATGTGGGCTCTTTTTTGGTTCCATATGAACTTTAAAGTAGTTTTTTCCAATTCTGTGAAGAAAGTCATTGGTAGCTTGATGGGGATGGCATTGAATCTATAAATTACCTTGGGCAGTATGGCCATTTTCACGATATTGATTCTTCCTACCCATGAGCATGGAATGTTCTTCCATTTGTTTGTATCCTCTTTTATTTCATTGAAAGCTCTTGTTTAAACTCAGTAAAGACCCGGAGGGAGGAGGTGGCATTTACTGAGCACCTCCTGTTTATAAGGAACTGTCTTCAAGTGTGCCATGGGTACAGACATAAATTAGCACTGGATGTTGCTGATAAAGAGAGCACAGATTCCAGAGAGCCAAGGCTGCCTCTCAATGACTGCATGCCTTAAGTTCACCCTTCAACCTCTCTGAACTTCAGTTTTCTCAACAGGTAGATGGACCAGGGTGCCCTCTAAGGATCCCAAGGAAGGGCCTTAAAAGATGAAGAGGATGTTGACAGACAGTTACTGAGAAGGAAAAGAGGAGGGCATCCTATGCAGACAAAGAGGAGGGTTTCAAGAGAAGTCCTGACATGTGTCTCCTTCCCTCGTCCCCTCGTTTGTGAAGCCGAGGGGTAAGTTCCTGATCTTTAAGTGCCTGTCCGCCTCTGACTTCTGGTCAAGGGAAGGGACAGAGGAGTTGGAAAGACTTCTTGAAGGAAGAGTGAAACAAACACCTGTGTTGTAGGATCCACCAACTTTAAGAAATGGAACCATGTAATTACCTTTAAAGTATTCTATAATTTATTTACACATTATTGTATATTTTGTTTACAACATTCTACTGTTGATGGACATTTAAATTATTTCCCATTGTCTCCAGGTTTATTTGTTTTTCTGGCTTGGACATCCATGTGCATGCATTTCTTCCTCTTCTTCTTCTTCTTCTTTTTTTTTTTTTTTTTTTTTTGTTTTTGAGACAGGGTCTGTCTCAAAAGACCCTGAGACTGTCACCCAGGCAGGGGTGCAGTGGCATGATCACAGCTCCTTGCAGCTTTGACCTTCTGGGTTCAATTGCTCCTCCCCTCTCAGCCTCTTGAGTAGCTGAGACTACAAGCATGTACCACCATGCCTGACTAATTTTCATATCTTTTTGTAGAGGCAAGATTTTGCCATGTTGCCCAGGCTGGTTTCGAACTCCTGGGATCAAGCAATCCTCCCGCCTCAGCCTCCTAAAGTTCTGAGATTACAGGCATAAGCCACTATAACCAGCCATGCATGCATTTCTGTCAATTACATACCCAGGGATGAAACTCTTGGATTGTAGAGGGTGTACATTTCCAACTTTATAGATCATCACGATTTGTTATCCAAAGAGGTTGCACTAATTTAAACTCGTGTCAAAAGTATGTGAGTTCCTATTGTTACAGGTAGCTAGTCAGGCATGAGCAGGGCAGGAGAGGGCTCGACCCCCACCCCCCCACCAGTAATGTCACCAACCACCAGGCGATTGTTAAACTGTCTCTAATAATGGGTCGCAGCCTGCACCAGGGAAAGGCCATCTCCTAATAGATAGAACAAACTTGAAACTGGTGATCAGCAGCTTCCCAATAAGATCTCAGGAGTTGGGCGAGTGGGCTCAAGCATGCACACTAAGAGGCAAAATGGTGGAGTTTAACTTCTAGGGACATTCACCTGGTAGGGGAAGAATGCCTCAAGTGAGCATGCACACAACTCCAGTAAACACACTGCGTGCTCACCGCCCAACTGCTAGCAGACCACTGCACACGTGGACAGACCACTGCACACGTGGACAGCCCACTCCCAGGGAAGAATCAGGGGAGAAGGGATGTACAACCCTGGAACTATGTCAACAGATAAAACCCCAAGTCAAAGGTCAAACAGTGCACTTGATCTCTCAAGTCGTCCGCTGGCCCTCTTCCAAGTGTACTTTACTTCCTCTTAGTCCTGCTCTAAAGTTTGTTGTTGTTGTTTTGAGAGGGAGTCTTGCTCTGTTGCCCAGGCTGGAGTGCAGCGGCGCGATCTCAGCTCACTGCGAACTCTGCCTCCCGTGTTCAAGTGATTCTCCTGCCTCAGCCTCATGAGTAGCTGGGATTACAGGTACCTGCCACCATGCCCAGCTAATTTTTTTTTTTTTTTTTTTTTTTTTTTTTTTGTATTTTTAGTTGAGTTGGGGTTTCATCATGTTGGCCAGACTGGTCTGAAACTCCTGACCTCATGTGATCTGCTCGCCTCGGCTTCCCAAAGTGCTAGGATTACAGGCATGTGCCACCGAGCCAGGCCTAGTTTTTTAATAAACTTTCACTGCTGCTCTAAAACTTGCCTTGGTCTCTCATTCTGCCGTATTATGCTGTTGGTCAAATTCTTTCTGCTGAGGAGGCAAGAATTGAGGTTGCTGCAGCCCCCTAGGGATTTGCCACCAGTAACACTATGATTCACTGGAAAGACTTGAAATTGTCAGATTTTTAAAGGTTTGCTAATACAGTGGGGTAAAATGGTGTCTTACTGAGTTTTCACTTATTTTTAATAGAAGAAAAGGCATACAGATGAATTAATGTATGGGGCAGGGGAGAGTCAGTGATTTCCCAACCTCCCAATGGGGTATAGAAGCTGACATACCCTTTTTCACAGGGTAAGGAGGAGATAGGGAATGTAGACAATTCCTTTGAGGGGCAGCAAGTGATGGTTAGGGAGAATGATCAACCCAGGAGACAGAAATTAACTGTAAATGATTCGCTTTGGAATTGGAGCCTGAGAGGCAGGCATTATGTTATGGAAAAGACCATCCATCCATGTGTGGTTGCATTCTTCACTCTTCTTTTCATTTCCCAGCTTCTAGGATGTCCCAGTGTCTTCCCTGTGGATCTCCCAGTACCTGCAGGTCACAGAGTAACACAGGCTGTGGCAGAGTCACCTGGGCCTCCCAGAGCAGGGAAGACCAAGCACTGGACACCAAATTTTTCCACAATTAAAAATACACATGGCCGGGTGTGGTGGTTCACGCCTGTAATCCCAACACTTTGGGAGGCTAAGATGGGCAGATCACCTGAGATCAGGAGTTTGAGACCAGCCTGGCCAACATAGTGAAACCCTGTCTCTACTAAAAATACAAAAATTAGCTTAGTGTGGTAGCATACACCTGTAATCTCAGCTACTCGGGAGGCTGAGGCAAGAGAGTCACTTGAACCCAGGAAGCAGAGATTGCAGTGAGTCGAGATCACGCCACTGCACTCTCCAGCCTGGGCCACAGAGCAAGACTCCATCTCAAAAAAATAAATAAGTAAAATAAAGAAAAAAATACACATGTATTCATACAAGTGTTGATATTTTGAGTTTTTTTTTGTGAAAATATGTTTATTTCATTTGTCTCTTTTTCTATTATCTTTTTTCTTATTAATATGTAAGATTTAAAATATATATTCTTTGCCAGATGCAGTGGCTCATACCTGTAATCCCAGCACTTTGGGAGGCTGAGGCGAGAGGATTATTTGAACCCAGGAGTCCGAGACTAGCCTGGGTAACATAGTGGGACCCACGTCTCTACAAAAAATAGAAAAATTAGCTGAGCATGTGTCATGTGCCTGTAGTCCCCGCTACTTGGGAGGCGGAGGTTGGAGGATCACTTGAGCCTAGGAGGTCAAAACCACAGTGAGCTACGATTGCACTACTACAGTCCAGCACGGGTGACAGAGTGAGACATCATCTCTAAATAAATTAATTAAATATATATCCTAGAAATAACTCCCTTATCAATTATGTGTATTGTAAATCTTACATCCCATTCTGTAGCTTGCCCTTTTACCTTCCTATAGTGTCATTTGAAGAATAGAAGTTTTTAATTATAATATAACTGTGGTAGGCAGAATTCTCACGACCCTCACCCTTTTAAGATGTCCCCCTGAAGAGTGGACAGAACCTGTGGATATAGCAGGATGTCACTTCTGTGATCATGCTGCATATATGGCAAAAGAAATTTTGCAGGTGTAACTAGGATTACTAATTGGTTGCATATGAGTTAATCAAGAGGGAGATTATCTAGGTGGGCCCAACCTCATCACATGATCCCTTCAATCTGGGGTCTAGGGACCAGAGACAGAAAACTTCAGAGAGTTTCAAATTGCAGGAAAAACTTGGCAAGCAAATCTGGCTGGTGTTTTTAGTTGTTTGTTTGTTTGTTTGTTTGTTTTTGAGACAGGGTCTCACTCTGTGGCCCAGGCTGGAGTGCACTGGTGCAATCTCCACTCACTGCAACCTCTGCCTCCCAGGTTCAAGTGATTCTCGTGCCTCAGCCTCCTGCGTAGCTGGGACTATAGGCAAGTACCACCACTCCCAGCTAATTTTTGTATTTTTTTGTAGAGACAGAGTTTCGCCATGTTGGCTAGGCTGGTCTCAAACTCCTGACCTCAAGTGATCCACATGCCTTGGCCTCCCAAAGTGCTGGGATTACAGGCGGTGAGTGAGTCACTGTGCCTGGCCAAGGCTGACTTTGAAGATGGAGGAAGCTACGTGCAGATGCCCTCCAGGAACTAAGAGCAGGTCCTGCCTGATAGCCGACAAGGACCCAGACAAGGACCCCGAGACCTCCATCCTACAACTTTAGGGAGATGAACCTGTCACAAGCATGTGAGCGTGAAAGAGGACTCAGGGCTCCAGGTGAGAACACAGCCCTGCTGGCACCTTGATTGAAGCTGGCAAGACCCCAAGTGGAAAGCTCAGCCACACCACGCCTGGGCCTCTGGCCTACAGATCCACAAGCTAACAGATGGCTTTAAGCTGCTAAATTTGAGGATTGGTTGTGTAGCACTGGCAAACAAACATAGTAGTTGTATTCATCAGCATTTTTCTGTATTTATTTCACTTTCTGAGCTTAAAAAAATCATTCTTGGAAGGCTGGGCGCAGTGGCTCATGCCTGTAATCCCAGCACTTTGGGAGGCTGAGCTGGGTGTATCACTTGAGGTCAGGAGTTCAAGACCAGCCTGGCCAACATGGTGAAACCCCATCTCCACTAAAAATACAAAAATTGGCCAGGTATGGTGGTGGGTGCCTGTAATCCCAGCTACTTGGGAGGCCTAGGCAGGAGAATCACTTGAATCCAGGAGGCAGAGGTTGCAGTGAGCCAAGATCACACCACCGCACCCCAGCCTGGGTGACGGACGGAGATTCTGTCTCAAAAAAAAAAAATCATTCTCATAATTGATATTTTCTTCTAAAATTTTTACAGTTTAATTTTTCACATTTAAGTATTCCAAATCAAATTTTTTCTATGGTATGAGGTAGAGCTCTGGTTTCTCTTTTCCCCCATAATGATAACAATTTTTCCTGGAACTACTTATTGAAGAGCTCATCATTTCTTCACAGATCTGCAGTTACAATTCAGTCATGAATCCAATTTCTATGTAAAGGAGAGTTGGTTTCTGGCCTCTTTATTTTGTGTCATTATTTAACTTGTCTATCACGGTGTAATTGTGTAAACCAGTCTGCCTTAATTACTGTAGCTTCCTAGTTATCTGCTAGATGTCTGCTAAAGTAACTTCCTCATCTTATTCTTCAAGAGTATCTTGGCTTTTGGCTTTTTCAAATAAGATTTAAAATAGATTATCAAATTTCATTACAGGCTCACTCCTGTAATCCCAGCACTTTGGGAGGCTGAGGCGGATGGATCACCTGAGGTCAGGAGTTTGAGACCAGCCTGGCCAAAATGGGGAAATCCTGTCTCTACTAAAAATGCAAAAATTAGCTGGGCGTGGTGGCGTAAGCCTGTACTGCCAACTACTAGGGAGACTGAGGCAGGAGACAGGAGAATCACTTGAACCTGGGAGGCGGAGATTGCAGTGAGCTGAGATCACACCTTTGCATTATATCCTGGGCCACAGAGCAAGACTCCGTATCAAAAAAAAAAAAAAAAAAAAAAAAAAAAGCTGTTAGGATTTGTTTGAATTATAGTACATGTTGTAGCTATAAATCAGTTGGGAGACTGACATCTTCAAAAGACTGAATATCCCAATCTATGAATATGGCCCTATCCTTTTCAAACTAATGCAGGAACAGAAAACCAAATACTACATGTTCTCATGTATAAGTGAGAGACAAATAATGAGCACACATGGATGCATAGAGGGGAACAACAGACTCTGGGGCCTATGGGAAGATGGAGGGTGGGAAGAGGGAGAGGAGCAGAAAAAATAACTAGTGGGTACTGGGCTTAATACCTGGGTGATGAAATAATCTGTGCAGCAAACTCCCATGACGAGAGTTTACCTATATAACAAACCTGCACATGTACTCCTGAACTTCAAATAAAAGCTGGAATATGGCCTGTGTCTCTTTTGCCTAAGACTTCTTTAATGTTTTTCTCTTGTTCTTGTTGTTTTTGTTTTTGTTTTGTTTTTGAGACACAGTCGCATTCTGTTGCCCAGGCTAAAGTGCAATGGCACGACCTCGGCTCACTGCAACCTCTGCCTTCCAGGTTCTAAGAGGTTCTCCTGCCTCAGCCTCCCCAGTAGCTAAGATTACAGGCACATGCCACCATGCCCAGCTACTTTTGTATTTTTAGTAGATACGGGGTTTCCCCAAGTTGGCCACGCTGGACTCGAATTCCTGACCTCAGGTGATCCACCTGCCTCGGCCTCCTGAAGTGCTGGGATTATAGGTGTGAGTCACCATGCCTGGCCTCTTTAATAGCTTTCATAAAGATATATAATTTTTTCCACTTACACATCTTTTGTTAAATTTATTTTTAGGCATTTTGTATCCTTTATTGTAACCATAAATGGTATCTTTTTAAAATTTGTCCTTTCTGTTTGTGGCTGCTAGAAGTGCGAATGATTTTTATATTTTGTATCCCACATTCTTGCTGAATATTCTTATCCATTCTTTTAAAAAAAAAAAAATTTGAGATGGTCTTTCACCATGTTGCCCAGGCTGGTCTCGAACTCCTAAGCTCAAGCAATCCTCCCACCTCGGACTCCCAAAGTGCTGGGATTACAGACATGAGCCACTGCACCAGGCCTAAATATTCTTATCCATTCTAATAACTTAGCTGTAGATTCTCTTTGCCTTAATTTCTTTAATAGATATAGGATAATTTGGATTTTGTAATTTGTGTCTTTTGAGGAAATTTGTCAGTTTCATCTAGCTGTCAAGTTTATTGACATGAAGTTGTTTATAATATTCTTTTATTTTTAATATCTGTAGGATTTAATTGACATCTTCTTTTTGTTCTCAAAATTGGACATTATGTCTTTTTTCCTGATGAGTCTTGCTGGAAGTCTTGTTTTGTTTCTGCTAGGATTTTATCATGTAGTTGTGTTGTATTGTCCATGAGTTTTTGGTTTTGTCATCTAGTTACTCCGTTGGTATGTGATGATGAGGGGAGATTTAAAAGTGACGTCATCGTCATTGCTGCCATTTTCTAGAAACCTACGCTTTTATTTTTGAAGTATATTTCAGTGGGTAGAATTTTATGTTGGCAGATTTTTTTCATTTCAACATGAAAAATGTCATTCCGTGGGTTTCTGGCTTCTGTAGTTTCTGATGAAAAGTCCTTCTCCTACTTATTGTTGTTTCTTTGAAAGTAATATGTCTTTTTTTCCTCTGGCTTCTTTTGAATGTCTCCTTTTATCTTTTTTTTAGCAATTTAATCACGACTTTTTTTCTATTCACCTGCTTAGGATTTGCAGACATTCCTGTCTGTGAATTAATGTCTTTTATTTGTTTTGAGATTTGTGGGGGAACATTTTCTCTTTTTTAAAATTTCCTTTTATTTTTATTTTTATTTTTATTTTTTTAATTTATTTTGTTGTTGTTGTTGTTGTTGTTGTTGTTGAGACGGAGTCTCACTCTGTCACCCAGGCTGGAGTGCAGTGGTGCGATCTTGGCTCACTGCAAACATCGCCTTCTGGGTTCACGCCATTCTCCTGCCTCAGCCTCCCAAATAGCTGGGACTACAGGCGCCCGCCACCACACCCAGCTAATTTTTTGTATTTATAGTAGAGACGGGGTTTCCCCGTGTTAGCCAGGAAGGGTTCGATCTCCTGACCTTGTGATCCACCTGCCTCGGCCTCCCACAGTGCTGGGATTACAGGCATGAGCCACCGTGCCCGGCCTATTTATGTTTTTTGAGACAGAGTCTCACTCTGTCATCCAGACTGGAGTGCAGTGGTGCAATCTTGGCTCACTGCAACATTCGCCCCCCAGGTTCAAGCAATTCTCCTGCCTCAGCCTCCAGAGTAGCTGGAACTACAGGCACCCACCACCATGCCCGGATAATTTTTGTATTTTTTGTAGAGGTGCTCTCTACCTCCTGTTATGGAGGAGGTAGAAACTGGTCTCAGTCTGGTCCAGTCTGGTCTCAAACTCCTGACCTCAAGTGATCTGCCCGCCTCGGCCTCCCAAAGTGCTGTGATTACAGGTTTGAACCACTGTACCCAACCCCATTTTCTCTTTAAATAGAGGTACTGTTCCACTTCCTTTCTGGTTCTGGGACTCTAATTCCTCACAAGTTAGACCTGTCTGACATGTTCCATGTCTCTTGTTAACTTTCCTATATTTCCCATCGTTTTCTCTCTCTCTAACCTTCAATTTCAGTGTTTTGTACTAACCTAACTTCCACTTCTTTAATCCTCTCTTCTGTTTTGTCTAATTTGCTGATAAATCCATCTATTGGGTTTTCAATTTCTGTTATTTTCTCAATTCTATATCCTTTTTAATCCTTAAAAAATAAAGTCCAGGTATTTGGTGAAATTCTCTATATTTTCTTGTTATTTTATTTTATTTTTTTGAGACAGAGTTTCACTCTTGTAGCCCAGAATGGGGTGCAATGGTATGATCTCAGCTCATGCAACCTCTGCCTCTTGGGCTCAAGCAATTCTCCCATCTCAGCCTCCCAAGTAGCCGGGACTACAGGTGTGCACCACCACACCCAGTCAATTTTTGTATTTTTGGTAGAGATCGGGTTTTACCATGTTAGCCAAGCTGGTCTCAAACTCCTGACTTCCAGTGATCTGCCCACCTCAGCCCCCCAAAGTGCTGGGATTACAGGTGTGAGCCACTGCACCCCACCAATATTGACTTTTTAAGATATGTAATACATTGACACTCACCATAAGCCTCTGCCCTCGTTCTGCAGGTCGTGAAGGTGTTTATTGTCCTGACCCCACAGTTTCTGTCCCGTGACAAGGACCAGCTGACCAAGGAGCTGCAGAAGCATGTAAAGTCAGTGACAGTCTCATGCAAGTCCCCAAGGAAGGTGAGTGAGGGCAGATGGAAGGGGTCTGGTGCTCCTGAATAGCTCCCAGTGCTCCTGCCCCATGTCTCATAGGGTGGCTGTGCAGGGGAAAGCTTAGGCAGTCACAGTACTGGCTTTTTCTTCTGCAGAAGAAGGAATTTGGTTTAGGGATGGGATGGCATAGTTGATTTATTTGGATGGAAATTGCTATCTTGTGTCAGAAACCCAAAAGGAATCATTGCTGGCATGTTAACCTAAAGACAAAAATCAGTCAAGTGCCCAAGGATATTTTTAAAAAGGTTATTTATAATCCTGTAAAAATTAAAAAAAAAATCCAAATCAGCAGCTTCCAAACTTTTTCTAACATGATTCATAGGAAGAAATATGTTCTGTCTTGCAACTCAAAATATATATACATACATATAACAAACAAAAATTAATAGAATGATATTTATCTTTATAAATGCAATGCATTCTGATATGTTTATTTTAATTCAATGCCTTGTGCAACCTACAAAAAGTCAAACAATAGAGAAATAAGGTTTTCATAAAATTGAATATAACCCTGCAATTTAAAATAATGATTCAGTTTTTTATATATTTAACATATATCTCAACACATATTAAGAGAAAAAAGCGTACTATGAAAAAGTATACGTGGTATTATCCTACCCCTTTGAAAATAAAGTGCAAAGAGATACATATGCCAAAAAGTTAACACTTCCTTCTTTGTAATACTTTGCTGCAGTGTCTGAGTATTTACAGTCAATACACATTATGAAGCTACATGGCTAACCTTGATTGAGTACTCACTGTGTGTGCCAGCCCCTAGGCTCAATGCTTTACATGGATTTTTATTTCATTAAATCCTCTCTTCCACCTGAGATAGCATAGCAAACCATTTTACAAAAACAAAACTGAGGCTCGGAGACTCAAAGTCAAATGCCCGAGGTTGCAGTCATTAAGAGGCAGGGCTGAAACTGAAACCTATGTGTGTCTGACAAGTTCATGTTCTGAGGGTAGGCTAGCCTGCTTCACAGAGCATGAAATAGATGGTGCATGCCTGCTACGATGGGCCAGATATCACTGTAGGTTCAGTGGACAGCCCCAGACAATGGAAATTTACAACACTGAAGGTTCTTATCCTGCTCATGCGGCACGTCCACCATGGCTCTGCTGGGCCTTGTGCTTCACATCCCCTCATCACCTGTCAGCTTCTCTAAGAGATGGAGGAGAGGGTGGCCAGTCTCAGGGGCTCCCAACTCTTCTGTCTTGAAGTGACACGCTTCACTTCCACTCACAGCTCCTGAGTCACATCACACGGCTACATCCACCTTCAAAGGGTCAAGGGGAGAACCTGACACACTTGGTGGATTCCATTAAGGCGACCATATGGTGTCAGCCTGTGTGGGAGACTGTGGAGGGGCAGAGGAGGAGGGTAGGGAATTGGTAAGTCACTGTGGATTTCCCTTATACTTAACCAGATGGAGTTTGTCCCGGAGCTGCGGAAAACTGTCACTGGAAAGATTAAACAAGGTGAACTTGAGAAAAGGAGCTTGGTCAGATGTAATCAGCAGTGAACTCGGAACCAACTGGCACCTTCGGCAAATCCCTGGCCACTTCAGTCTCCCCACTAGGGCGGGGTGATGATGAGACATTGAGAGGGTTGATTTGGAAAAGCATCAGGAGGACCACAATTCCAATGTTTTTCTTTTCTTTTTCTTTCTTTTCTTTTTTTTTTTTTTGAGACAGAACTTCATTCTTGTTGCCCAGGCTGGAGTGCAGTGGCGTGATCCTGGCTCACTGCAACCTCCGCCTCCCGAGTTCAAGCCCTTCTCCCATCTCAGCCTCCTGAGTAGCTGGGACTGCAGGTGCCCGCCACCACACCCAGCTAATTTTTGTATTTTTAGTAGAAATAGAGTTTCACCGTGTTGGCCAGGCTGGTCTTGAACTACTGTCCTCAGGTGATCCACCCACCTCAGCATTTCAAAATGCTGGGATTTCAGGCGTGAGCCACCGCACCCGGACTGTTTTTGTTATTTTAAGTTACATTCAGTTACTCTGCTTCCTCCAACTCCTCTCTGTGTCTTTAGAATTTCCCAGGTGAGTACACAGATTGGAGTTCCAGGTAATAAAATATTAATTTCGACAATACCCTGTGTGGAGCATTTGTTCTGGGAATGAACCTATGTTAAATGCCCTCCTTCTGTAGTTCTCCCTAATCCACAACCTGAAATATCTTGAGACCAGATTCTCCCTCCTGGCACCAGTTTCTCAGGGTAGCCCTAAGCACCCTTCAATGGCCAAGACACAGGGGTCCAGGAGGTGTGCCCCATGTGGCACCGGGCACGTGCCTGTGCCCTGGAGTGAGGCCCCAGGAAGGCCGGGGCAGGGCAGATGTCCTGGGTGGTCAGCCTTGGCTTGGGGACTATATTTGCCTGCCAGACCACCGCTGCCTCCCCCACCCAATGGTCCTTTGTGTCCCCCAATAGTGCCCATGTGCACATGTGCCCCAGCCTAAACCTGGCATGTGTGAGTGAGGGCCTCAGCCTCTGGGCACCCAGCACTCCTCTAGCCCTGCCCCTAGCTATCCCCTGTAGTCACCTACACATCAGACCTTCCAAGTGGCCCAGGAGCTCTGTCCCCGAGCCCTTCCTAGAGGACCTCACTCATTCACCCTCCCAGGGCCCAGGCTCCCTCCAGCCCAGAATCCTCCCCCCACAGACAATCTTCCTTCTTTCAATATAACTCTCTCCGGCGACCCAGAGTCCTCCTCACAACCCTGGCCTGGAGTCCTGTGACCTGACCCTTCATGCCGTCCCTCCTTGGGGCCTAAGAGGGACCACCAGGGGGCCACCAGAGGCTCAGAAAAGCAGGGGCAGAAAAGGCCCTGCCGGGGGATGAGAGAAGCACATGCTGTCCCCTTCTCAGCCACCCCTGGAGGTCAGCACTGGAGAGGCCTCTCTGTGACTGCCAACTTCCGAGGTGCACAAACCCAGAAACTCACAGGGAGATAAACAGATACCGCGAGCACAGAGACACAGAGGCACAGAACCGCCCCAGCTTCACCTGGGCACTCAGGAGTATGGCCCACGGACAGGCACATAAACACACACACCAGGAGGACACAGATACACACACAGAACCATGAGACACAGCCCCACAGGGCTGACTCTACACACAGTGGACACCCACGTGTGCGCACACGTGCTCACATACACACACACACACACACACACACTGGCACAGACCCACAGGCAGAGAATCAGACATAGAACACACACACTACACAAAACATAAACACACAAATACAAACACAATCAGGGACACCCAAAGGAGAAGCAAATTCACACGCACACACCTCAACACATACACAAAGATACAGAAGCCAGGTATACACAGACACTCCCACAGGGGGCACACATGCCAGAGACACACACATTACCCAATCAGAAACACAAACACAGATTTGCACAACCAACACACACTCATTCAGAAAGAAAGGACACCCAAATGCATACAAAGATAGAGAAAAACACAGAGCCACCCTGAGACAGCTACACAGAGACATAATCACAGACACAGACACTCAGATGCACAGATGAATATATGCAGATTTACGCACCCAAACATGCACACACTCCCAGACCCCAGCCCACAGTACAACCAGAGGTGGCACTCCAGAGGGCAATCCTGGGACCAGCGGACAGAACAGACCCAGGCATGACCTGGCCCTCCTGAGCTCTCTTGGAAGAAAGTATTTTCCAGGTTTCAAACCCAGGGCTGGGGATGTGCCCCTTCCAGGGCCTATAGAAGGGCTGTGCCTGGGCCCGGAGATGTCAGAGACAGGCCAGGGTTGGGTGACTCTGGGAACAGGAGCACAAGGTTGGGCCCAGTACCCTGTCTGGGTATGATTAGAGTGGGGGTGTTGCGTGGTGCTTAGTAGATCTAGAGGTCAAGAGAGAAAGACAGATGTGCCCCCAGAACCATGCCCTGTGCCTGAGTGGGCTGGCACTCTCTGCGTCACAATAATGCTATGAGGAACATGCTATGATATATCCCCATCATCACAGCTGTGACTGACCCTCACTCATAGATGGAGGTGCTGGGCTGGGAACACAGCCACCTGGTTGGACCTCATCTGAGCAGGACTGACCAGGGCAACGCTGGGTCCTGGGCAAAGCATCTCTGTGGCCGCATCTTCCTGGGGAGTCTCCAGACCCAGGTTCCCCTTCTCCTAATGTCCCCTCCGATAATCAAGTTCCCCCAGATCTGTTTCTCTGCCTGGATACACCCCCTCCCCCAACCACTCTGAACCTACATCCCCATCTGTGCAAAGGAACAGTGATAGTACTTCAGGATCTCAGGAGATGATGCCTGCGAAGTGCTATGCTTAGCACAGTGGCGACAAGAGGGGCTGCTGTTGTCATCATCACTGCCTTTAGTGGCCAAGGACCTCCCAGGGTGCCAGTTCTGGGAAGAAAGATGCCCCTGGGAGGTTACAATGCTCAGGTACACAGCTGCTCAACCACTTCCTGCTGTCTTCTGATAGTCTTTGCACACAGCCATTAGCACTCCAGTTGTACAGAAGGAATCCAGCCCAGCGTTGCACAGCTGGTCTCCCAAGGTGCCTCGTCCTGCCAAGGGCCCCTGGCCAAGCCTCCAAGGGACCATGAGGGGCCCGCCTGCAAGGGAGGTTGACTCTGGCTTTCGGGAGGTGTTTCCTGGTTACATGAATGACTTCTCCTTGTCTGAGGGCCCAAACTCTGTTCGCTTCTCCTTCCTTTCCCTCTCTCTGCTTGGGCTATAATCAAGGTGACCCCACAACACTTCATGGACATCACAGGTCTCCCATTCACTTTCGGGCTAATCTGACTTCAACTCCCCTTACTTGGTCTTTCCTTTTACAACCAAGACAACTCAAATCTGGGGGTCTTTATGCAGGTGACAGCACACAAATAGAATTTAATTCCATTGTTTTGTTGTCCCTGTTTTTGTTTTGTTTTGCTTGTTTCTTAGGGTTTCTTTTTATTTATGGTAAAGGCATTGGCTTTCCATTTACAACGGTGATAGAATATTTCTTGTTTACAATAACCTTGTGTCATCATAAATGCTGAAGGGATTTAAAGCAGTGGTTTTAGGCTGCCAGAGGACTGAGTGAGTTTGGGCACACTCTGTGTCATCAGGCAGAAGAAGGCCTCTGGGAAGTTTAGCTGAGGACAAGGCCAGCAAAGCTGATGGCCAGTTGGGGTGTCTCTCCTGGTCACCAGGCCCCTGGGTCCTGCCCACCTGCTTGACACTCCCCATCCATCACTCCTGGTGCTGCCAAGCCCTCTGGGTATTGTGGCCAAATCCTCCAGGAGAGAAGCTGATGAACTTTGTCTCTTGAAATACACAGATTCCTTGGACATCCCTGGGAGGTCAATCGTGAGAGTCAACTTGGTTTTCTTTCCCTCATTAGGGTTCAAAGCTTAAAGTCCATGCTCACAGGCAGTAAGATGACATAGATAAGTGACATCATTACCCCGTTTCAGATGTTAAAGTGTCTAGGTGGATTAGGGATGATTTAAGACCACACAACCTTGTGCCACAAAGTGGAATTCCCAGGCCAGATGGAGACATTTTATTGCCGTATTATGATCTTATCATTGAGTGCAAAGGCAGTCTTGTTTCATTTTGGATTATTTCTTATGTTTGTGTCTTACTTATAAGGGCGTTGGAATTTCCAAGCATATGAGAATTTGTGGTTAGCTTTTTATCATTGACTTCTAGCATAATTATATGATCAGAAACATGCTATGTGATTTGATTTCTCTGAAATGATTGAGATTTGCTTGATGAACAAAATAAGTAGGGTTAATTTTTGTAAATGTACCATGTGTGCTTAAAATGAATGTATCTCCAACATTTATTCCCAATATACAAGGATGATGGACGGATGGCTACATGGAAGTGATGGAAATGGCTTACTATTCGGACCTTCTACATCCTACTGGTGTTTTGTTGCTTAGTACATGAATTGCTGAGAGGGGGCTGTGGAGCCTCCCACTCTGCTTGTCTATGAGGTTCTTCCTGCCTTCCTGCCATCATTTGTTTCTCATGTTTTGCAGCCAGGATTGACCATGAGGAACCCTGAGAACTCAAGAAGGAAGGAGCGGCCCAGAAGCAAGGACAGGAAGCTGGGTTTTGTAAAGCGTGTCTTGTGCAGATCACTGATTTACCCAAACCAGAAAGGGTCTTAAAGTGCTTATGATTGTCCAAATATAAAGAAATGACAGGTTTCTACTTTGAAAGTTTTCACCCTCACATTATAAAACCTCTCCACTACACTCAGGAGAGGGTGCTTTATGGAGATGAGAATATTTGTTCTGACTGGCATGCACCAGATTCTTAGGAAGGGATTTGGAAGTCTAGTGATGGGGAGCAACCACTGCATCCAGGCAGAATCACCCCACATGAATGCCTCCAATCAAAGAATCTATTGTTTCTTTTGAGGCTATGAAGGAGGAAATGTGTTGAGAATCTTTGTTGGAATTGTTTCCCCTTTACCTGGCTGCATTTTCATAGATCAGTTAAACTCTCTTTCCCTACCTCACCTTTGAAGACTTGGATACATTTTCCTCATTGCATTTTCTACTTTCACCCTTGCTCATGGCTATCGACTGTCAGAACCGAAGCTTTTACTGGCCCCATTGGACCTAATCTAGGTAGGAGCCCACTACTGATAACCTACAACCAGATAGTTGTCAGGTGTGACAAGAGTGCCCAAGATGGGGGATGAGTTCCTGGTCAATGACAAGATGGCCTTTATCCTTCTTGTACATTTGATCCACATCTTTAACCATTGTGCCCAGAGCTCCTACTCCTTTTCAGACAGAGGCTCCTCAGGGACAGTGCATCCCTCCCAGGAGCCCAGGCTGTACTCACCTCCACTGTGAGGCTGAAGACAAAAGTGCTACAGAGGTCAAAGGCTGCTTTCTAAAGAGGTTTTATTTGCACAAAACTGAGTCTTGGTGTGTGGATTGGTCTGAATTACATTTTGAATTTATTTTCTCCCCCAATACTTGTAAATCTAGTGCTTGTAAAATAGTATGTGTGCCTTTTGTGGTGGTGGCCATACATTCCAGAACATTTATATTGTTTTCCATGCAGATTTCCAAGGTTGCTACTGATTGCTTTAGGTGCAATGCTCTAAAATATGAAGGTGAACTCTTGTTACTGGTTATTTGGTGGGCTTTTTTTGGTGGGGAGGATGGAGTCTCGCTCTGTCGCTAGGCTGGAGTGCAGTGGAGCCATCTCGGCTCACTGCAACTTTCGCCTCCTGGGTTCAAGTAATTCTCCTGCCTCAGTCTCCCTAGTAGCTGGGACTACAGGTGTATGCCATCATGCTCAGCTAATTTTTGTATTTTTAGTACAGATGGGGTTTCACCATGTTGGCCAGGATGGTCTCGATCTATTGACCTCGTGATCCTCCCACCTCGGCCTCCCAAAGTGCTGGGATTACAGGCGTGAGCTACTGTGCCTGGCCGGTGTTGTATTTTTAACTAAATTCAATTCTCACAGTTTTAATCATAATTCCAAAAAGACTTTGTTATGCAAATTCTTTTTGACTTTGAAAATCTGACGTGACGTACGCTGTGTCAGCAGCAAAGTGAACACTGATTTTAGAAACTTGGGCTAAACAACCATCTGTGATTATTTTTGTTGGAATATAACCCAGGTATTATTATTATAGCAGCTGTCCACTCTCAGTTTTGCATAGATATAAACATATCTTTATGTCATATTTTCATCTATAACTTTAAGACTTTTTCCTTATATTTTTCTCATTCTTCCATCATACAGTGTGGACTCTTTTTTTATATATTACAAATAATGTAACACAAATATCTAAATATTTATTTATTTATTGTTTTGAGATGGAGTTTCCTCTTGTTGCCCAGGCTGGAGTGCAGCTGGGTGGTCTTGGCTCACCACAACCTGTGCCTCCTGGGTTCAAGCGATTCTTCTTCCTCAGCCTCCTCAGCCTCCGAATTAGCTGGGATTACAGGCACCTGCCACCATACCCAGAGAATTTTTGTATGTTTTAGTAGAGATGGGGTTTCTCCATGTTGGCCAGGCTGGTCACAAACTCTTGACCTCAGGTAATCCACCTGCCTCAGCCTCCCAAAGTGCTGAGATTACAGGCATGAGCCACTGCCCCCACCCTCCACCTTGGTTATTTTTAAGCACTAAAATTTGATACTTATTTCTGAATGAAGTCATCTCTTAATTGTATTTTTTTACTTACATTCTTTAAATTGCAAAGATTCATGTAATTCAAGAGAGAAGTGGGATCCAGAGAGATTCCTTTATCATGTGATACATGACAAATACACTCAATATTATATTTCAATCTAAAAAATAAGTAAATGACTTTAAAGATAATTACTTTATAACTAGTTTGTCCAACCCATGGGTGGCAGAGTGTATTCAACCCAGGACAGCTTTTCTGAATGCAGCCCATCACAAATTTCTAAACTTTCTTCAAACATTCTGAGATTTTTTTGTGATTTTTTTTTTCTCATCAGTTATTGTTAGTGTATTTTATGTGTGGCACAAGACAATTCTCCTTCTAATATAGCCCAGGGAAGCCAAAAGACTGGACATGCCTGCTTCAGACCAAGAAAAAAGACAGCCCACATTTGCACGCCTAAATACACTACCATCCATGCAAGAAACATGAGACTGGAAATTTCCAATCTTTCCTGAAGCAGTGGAATTGCCCGGGGATATCTGAGGGGTGTGGTTACTTCTTGGAGGAGGTTAAGGGTTTCTAAGGATGATTCTTTGTAACTGAAATATTGTAAATGTCATTGAGCCTTCTCATTATGTCAACTAGTAGTATTCCATATCGTCAATTTTCTGCCTGGGCATTTTCATCCCGGGCCTGACTTTTTTGGAATTCCTTGGATGCTTATCATTATTGTTGTGTCCCTGGGAATTTACAAACTTGCCATTTTCTTCTGCAAAACTAGCCTTGGTGTGAGTACACTAACTTTCCCTAGAGGTGGACTTGTAATCACAAATAAGAAATTATTTAAAACAATTTGTGGTTCTGGACTTCATTATGAATATTGGGTTTTATTTAAAAAATCAGGAAATGATTTATTAGCATAAGAATTATGAAAAATCTGCCATTTAAATTATGGCAGATTTTTAAAATTTTTTTAAATTTTTAATTCAACCTATTTAATTAAAAAATTAAATAGGTTTGTGTTTGTTTAATAGAATGTCAACAGAGCTTTTGGTCAAAAATACGTTTTTTTTAAGCCCTCTGCTCTTTATCAAAAACTGAAGTATAAAGTTTCAGCACTTAAATAAGAAATTCTTTCTAAACTTTTCTGCTTTATAGTTCTATTGTATGGGTGGAAGGAAAGCTTCCACTCTCCTCTCTAAAAGTTCACTGCAGCAATGTACTAACAACAGACAGCTTAACAGGAGAAGGAAAACATAGAACCTTATTAACATGCATAAACATGGGAGCCAGCCAAAAAATGAGACTGCAAGAAGGGCCAGATGACTGATGCTTAATGAGCACCCTCTTCTCAGGGAAACGGGAGATGGAGATGAAGGCAGGACAGCAAATGATTTTTAGGGGAAATGAAAGAGCCCAAGGAACAAACAGCTGGCCTGAGACAAAGTTCCTCTGAGATCATGAGGAAGAGGCGACAAACTGCAGGAAGGTCAAGGGCAGAACTGCACTGTGTCTCATGATGCAGAGAAAGCCCCAGAGAATCTCTTGGAACTGCCCTCCGAAGAATCAATGAAAAGTGTGTCTGGGCAGAGTAATGAGTGGTCATTTCAAATGGCATCATTCAAAGTACACATTCTCGGTTGCCACTGGAGAGGGATCGGTATGTCAAAAGTCTGTACTGGTTAAGAATGTGGCTGCTAAATTGTGCCATAATTTGGCTTTTGAGCATTTTTGTCCATTGAGTAAATCGAGCTCTACGTTTTCTCTTGCTGTTCATGACAGTAAAAGTTTGGGTGTCTAGGGGCTTAAACATCTTCTGAACAATGATCCAAGAAAAAAGTGCTAATACCACAATGCTTTTTTATCCTCAAGGGAAGGGGGAGTATGTTTTATTTTTACAACCTAGATAATTACACATCATTTGGCACTGCCCTTCAACATACGTAGAAAACAGAAAATATATAAGTTCTGAAGATATCTAGGCACATTGAACAGTCTCTACCCAACTTAGTCCTGAAGAGAGAATTTTTGATGTGAACTGGGGGAAGTTTTTTAATGTACCACTTTTTAAATATTCCATTAAGAAAAGTTCAGTTGAGCTGTTTGACTTGAACCACTTTGTACCTTCTCATCTTTCTCCTTGTTTTCTACTCCTCTATCCCATTATCTCACAAACCAGGACATCGTGATTGCCATGAAATGTTCATGCCTCATGGTTTTTCTTTGCTTCTCATTTCTTCATGTGTTTGACATTTCTCCTAGCTGCAAACTGGGCCAGCTGCTTTCCCCATAAAATCTAGCGGTAGCTGTAGGGCGCATGCGGTTGCTCTTTCATCTTTTTAGATCACCCATTGCTTCTATTGAAATCCTAGTACATGTTTTTTTGGGTTTTTTTTTCTATCGTATGTGAAGAAATCAGAAAAAAAACATTCTACACAGAACTTTAAAGATGTTATTTCATTGAATACATCAGGAATTTCAGAGGTATATGACGTACATCTGCAACAGGATTTGCATTGCATATTAGCCAAGAAGAGAACAAATATTTCATGTCTTAGAAGATTCAACTCATATGCAGTCTATATGGAATTCTTTGTGGGAATTCAGTCATTACTGAGAATGTTTTGTGTTAGGTTCCAACCAGCCTCAGTGAAGCTGGTGTCAGGGAAGGGAAAGTGGGCTCTGAGTAGAGCATGGATGGAAAAAAGATGCTCCACAGAAGATCAGGAAGGAGCAGGGGGTGAAATGTTACAAATTCTTGAACTCAGAGAACTGAAGGTAGTTGCTTTCCTTTCAACCTGTGAAACATTTTAACCTGCGGTAAAAAATGTATAACGTGATAATTACCATCTTAACCTTGTTGAAATGTACAGTTCAGTTGTGTGAAATATATTCACATCATTGTTCAATTATTGTTTTCTAGATGTCTTATCTCAAGTCTGTCTTACAGTCACAAAATGTCAATGACAGAACACGGATTTACAGGGGAAAGCCTGCAGGTCCAATAGCCATAGACAGGAAGGTATGCTATCTGTCAGAGTCCCCATAGTGTGGAAATGAGTTTGCCCTTTTAAGGGAAAGAACAGCTTCTGGCCCTCAGGTTTCTCCCCTTCTCCTCTCTACACCCTAACCAAGGGCTCAGGTCCACTTATATGCACACAAATAGAAGGATTTTATCCTTTGCAGGAATTAAAATGGACCTAAAATACTTCTTTACATCATGGAGATCTACAGAAGCTAAAGTGCAAGCCAAAGTCCAAAAGGTGATGATGAAGGTCAACAGTCATTGCGAAATCTCTGGGCAAAGAAAGACTGCCGAGGAAGAGTAAGATGTTCACTGACACAAACACTGTTGTATGAACCATGTGCCAACCAAAGTAGACAACTGCAATGTCCCCGAGAATATTTTCCACAATATTTGTGGCAAATTCAGTGGGTGCAAAACTGAGCTTGTCCTTCCTGCTTGATTAATCTTCGTGTTTCCTTTCCCTTCCTACATTCTTGATTGTAATGTTTTAGGGGCAAGCGGAGGTCCAGGTACTGGCATTGTTAAATTCAATGCTTGGGTCACCTCTGGATTCATTTTCACAGTCTTTTAGCTTTTGGTCATATGACATTGTATTTTTCCTGCCACATGACTAGTCTTTTTGGCTAAATGTAAGACACTCGTTAAAAATATTTAGCAATGAATTGAGGCCTACTAGCACGTTATCTTGCTGTAGAAAAGATGGGAGTCTATTTCTGGGGAATGGGCAGGGGTCCTAGCACACCTAGACACCCTCCATACCATCCGCAATTGAGGTTATCAGTGAGGTTCAGTCCCTACAAAAGTCAGGGTGTTTCCTGTCCACCTCTATTCCTGGCGTGTGACTCTTCTGGGTCCCAACCAAAGCCAGTGGACTTCAGTAGGGGTCACCTTCACTAGCAGACCCTCAGTCTACTTGTTTTCCATCTAGTCCTCCACATGGTGCAAAAGCTGCTCTGCTTCTTTGCATCTCAGTTAGTCCCTTCTGAAATTCAGTGAGGAAACTGAGGGAAATGAGCCCCAAATGTGAGGCTGACCCTCGTCCTGGGTTCCTTCTTCTCCATCTTGGCCTCATGTCTCTTTATTGCCATTTTAGCAATTTGGTGCTTTCAGTCATGGGTTTTAGATTCTGCCCCATGTCCCCATTGCTCTCATGGGAGATCAGAAGCTTCACACGCACTCATGTCTACTCCAGAGCAGAATGCTTCCTTAGCTTCCCTCCAGACTCAGGTTTTGTGTTTCTAGTTCCCAAGTTCACAGCAGGAGTAGTGATGTCCTCACTGGCTTCTCATTTGCGTTAAACTGTGAACTCCTTTAGGGTGGGGACAGGACCCTGCTCCCATTGCATCCTCTGCACCTCACAAGACACTCCTTGCTTCAGGCCACTCCAGACAGCGTGTGCTGAAGGGTGCCCTGGGTGGTCAGAAACAAGTGCATGAACTTTCTCTTTGAAGTGTTTTTGTCCCTGTTTCCTAGAGTTCTTGGCATTTTACACGTCTTTCTTTCTTTTTTTTTTTTTTTCATATTAAACTTGTAGTTTTATTCAGGTTTGATTTTAACAAATGTGTCGGGGAGAGAGCCCGCAGGGAAGGGTAAAGCCCATGGGGGCAGGCCCTTCCCAGATGCCTGAGGAGGGGGCAGGTCCCCTCCCCTCTCCTCTTCTTCCCTCCCCATCTAAAGGGGTTTGGGGAGAGACACAGGCAGGCGAGGGGGCTGGTCCCCAGTCTGTTGGGTGGTGCTCAGGGTAAAGGGCTATGGGCAACAGGGGACCAGACCAAGGATGAGTGGGGAGGGCACAAGGACCATTTGCCAGAATCCACCGCTTTCTGATTCCAGATTGAATTTAAAAAAAAAAAAAAGACTAAACCACAAGCAGCACCCACCCCCTTCTCCCCCACCAGGGCTGTAGTGTGAGGGGAGAAGAGGAGGGCAGCTTCACCAAGGCCATGGCTTCGCTCGCTCCTGGCCAAGGGAGCTAGGTGAAGGGCAGGGGCTCCCTGACAGATTGAGGGGGTGGGGAAAACCAAAATAAAACGTCAAATAAATTGTGTAGGAGGAGTCCAACCTAGGACCAGGCCAGAGCCAGGCCAGGCTGGGGGAGGGGGCCTCTGCAGGTTCGGAGGATCACTGCTGCCACCACTGCCACCTTGGGAGCCAGTTATTTTGCCATGGCCTTGATTGCAACAGCTGCCTCCTCTGTCATGGCAGACAGCACCGTGATCAGGATCTCTTCTCCACAGTCGTACTTCTGCTCAATCTCCTTGCCAAGGTCTCCCTCAGGGAGACGAAGGTCCTCTGGTACCTCCCCGCTGTCCTGGAGCAGTGATAGGTACCCATCCTGGATGCCAATCAGCTGGAAGTCATTCCTTTTGATGTTGGGGACATCCATATTATGAGTTGACGGGCAGATATCTTCATATTTCTTCCCAGTAAAGATGTCAATACCAACCAGATGGACCTTGGCGTGGCCGTGCTTGCCAGTCTTCGAAGCAGACATCTCCACGATCTTACATGGCCAGCCTTTGAGCACCACAAAGCCATTCTTACGTAATGCTGAGCACTGCATTGGGAAGGTGGCTGAGGCCCCTGCATCTCCTGTCTCGAAGTCCAAATCATCTGCCATTTTAAGAGGCTTCGATTCCAACTGGCGCAAACGGCACTGACTCGACCCCGTCCGCTCGCCGCGAGCCCAACCGCTGCCTCCGAGCCCGCCGCCGCCGCCGCCGCCGCCGCCTCTACCCAGGCATTTTACACGTCTTTCATATGAAATCAAGTATCAAGTGAGATTTTTAGAATCAGAACCATGAATCAAGTAGTGTGAGGCAACACAGCAAACCCACCTTTTTAGGCCATTTCCTTTTTTCTGCCCTCAGTCTGTGTGAAACAAACCTTGTTAAAGTCTCTGGACACCAGAGGATGGTTTGCAGTTGTCACCTATTTTCAGGACATAACACCCTGACTAAAGAGCCATTGGATCATTTCCAATTCAGTAGATGCACCCAGCACTCAGATTGGCCTTTTCTCTCAACCAGGATCTTTAAAGTCGATGAGAAGAGTTCCAGTCCTGAATCATGGACATGTGCAGTAGTGAACCGCAGGGCTAATGACAGCATGTCCTGGAAGGATCTCTCTGAGGCTGATTGTCTGGGTTCTGGCATCAGCCTCTGATGGAGAATCAGGTTTCCCTGTGGGAGGAGTCAGACGAGGAGTGATCCTCTGCTCCGTCCTTATGGGTTTAGTTGTGATGAGCTGGTGAGGTCTGGTTTTCTACACTGAACTAAAATGAGCTTTCGCTATGTCAGGCAAAAGACTGACCCCAGAAGCACACATAGCGCATCTCATAGAAGCTTTTAATAGTTCATATTTACTAAAGAGTAGGAATACAGAGCGATGAAGATGAGCTGGAAACGACAGGTGACTTGCCAGCAGGCCAGAATGTGCTTTTTCTTTGTCCCATGGAAGGTGTTAATTCTCCCTCCAGTTGTGAGGATCAGTTGGTTCATTTATGGGAAGGTTGTCAGGGGACCTTTGAATCACGGCCTTCAGATGCCGCAAGGAATCCCACACAGGCCAGTGGATCACGTGCATGCATTTCTCTCCCTTCTCGACTCAGGAAGCTGAGAATGAAAGAACGTGAACGAGAAGAAAAGGGGAGGCGGCTGTCAGAGGTGGAAGAAACCATGAAATTGGCTCTAGAAAAAATACCCATCTGCAAGTGGGTTCGGAAACCGACACCAGCCTCTTGGGGAAGCGCTGGTGGAGTGTTTTGTTTTAAATCTTTGTACAATGTTTAGACCCAGTTAACACAGAAATGGAAACAAATGGTCAGAAGCGATACCTAGAGAGAGAGACAATTCACACCAGAGAACACAAGTACCTTAAGATTTACTAGTGTTCAAAACATGTGAAGTAGCCAAACATCTCCTGACTGCAATGCCAGCCAGACTGTGTGGAAACTCGGTTCATACCAGCCGTTCTAGGGGTGATGCGAGTTGTCATCATCCTTAGGAAAGTGTGTTGTTGTAGGATCAACCCATCCTTCAAAAGGACTGTGCCTATTTATAAGCTCAGCTGTTTCTGCCCTGTGAAATATGGCAAGGATATTAATTCCAGGAGAATAGAGCTTTATGATAAAAGATGCCCAATGAAGCATGAATTAGGGACATACTGAAAATGGGTAAGGAAATTGTCAACTCAGAACCCAGCAGGCATTAAGTAAAAGAGGAGGAAGCATTACAGCAACAGTTTTGATCATACTGTACTTTTATAGCCATGTGAAATACATTTTCTATGTATAGATAGATTGTGTAAGGGTACAATTGTGAGGACAACAGGAACATGGCAGATTATTTAAAATCATACTAAAGATGATGCTGTGTCTGATGAAAGTGATTCTAAACCATAGAAAAACGATTCAAGACAGACAAGAGCTGCAGCAGTGGGTAGAGGACTCCTACAGATGAGAGGTAAGGAGCCTTCCTTCCTGCAGTTGCAGGATCCTTAAACGCTCATCAAGATGATGCCACTGCCCCTAGAATCTGTCAACATACATTTTCTCATGTGTTGGCTTTTTCAGATCGCCCCTTCTGCTGCAAGAAAGGCCTCAACAACTGGGTAAGTTTGTTCATTTTTCCCTTGCTTTTCGGCCAAGTCGGGACATGGATGTATTTTTCTCCCCACAGCTCTGTGCTCAAGCCTTGCAGAGGGAGATGGCAGAGAGGAAGGCTGCCTGCAAGCAGCACAGGTAGGTGATTGTGATGGACAAATTTTAAGGATGTTTTTGTTTTAAGATGAAGCTTTGACTGTCTAGTAAAGAAAACAGTGTTTTAATTCTTCTACAAGTCAACTCTTTCACTGTCTTCAAGACAGGAAATGATGGAAAAGCAGGGAGTGCTGGAGAGACACATGAGTCAGGAGGCAGCCCAGGGACAGCTAGGGCTAGAGAACCCTTTCTGGAGAGGTAGGAGCTCTCTGGGAAGGCACCCGCTTAACTTCTGCTCCACAATCCACACCCCTGCTTCTCCTTTCTGGGGTGAGGGCTTGGGTTGGGTTATTGTTATGTTTCCTGGAAACAGTTCCAAGCACTTACTAAAGAGAACAGTTATCCCGCTGGGTGGCAGGACCGTTTTTCTCACGTGCCACAGCTGAATGACTCTTGGCTGGTCCCCTGTGAATAGCGGAGCACAGGCCCCTCCACTGACTGTGGACATCATTCCACCCTGATGTCTTGGTTACTTTTAACTGAGGGGATGAGCCTAGAAGGCAAATGGGTCAGCTCCCCTTCCAACCTTGAGTCAGTGGGAAGGCTTTATTTTTTTTATTATTATTTGAGAAAAGTAACACTAGTAACATTTTAGAATGGGAGCCATAAGTGCTGATGAGAGCAGAAATTTTCTGGCTATGTCTTCATGGATCAATATTTCTTCTTTTCTTAAAGAATCAGAAGACATAGCCAGAAAACAGAGAAGACAAAGGTAAATGCTGGAGTCATTTTCCCTCTGCCTAGTTCAGGACAGTTTTGTCTTTTCCTACAGCGCCCTCTCCTGGCCTGTCCTCTGCTCTCTGGGTTCTGTGGTGCCTTTTCTAACTGGACTTTTTTGAAAGCAAAATCTTCCCCATGAGCTTTCAGGCTTCTCCATTTCCAGCTGGTCATCTTTGGTGGCACCTCCAGAAGCCATAAATGCTTAAGGGCCAAGGGCTGCAGGGCTGTCACTGTTCTGTTTCCAGAAATAACATGAGAGGATGCCATTGAACTCCACTGAGGTAGGTCTTATGGCCCAGTAGACCCTGACTGATCCCTTTTACTCAAGATGGTGTGGGATCCCCTTTCCAAAATATGTGGGGTTTCCTTTTTTTTTTTGCTGTGATTTTCTTTTCTGCTATAAGGTAAGTGATTAACCTTCAGAATATCCGCCGTAATCCCAGAAGTGAAAACTCATTGATCCAACATTAATATGTGCTTTGTGCAATTTTGAATGTTCTTTGGCAAAGTCAATTCCATAATTCATCACAGTCCCATCTCTGTTGTTAACTGTGTTGAGCAAAAACGCCCCCACCCTCACCCAGTGTTGCCCTTGATCTAATATTCTAAGTGTCAGAGGTTCCATATTTTAATAGAAAATGTGCCCTGGCTGTGAGGTAGTGGAGAGTGAACGTCACTCATTACCTACAGGGACAATTCTCAATGAAGGCCTTAAATGATGCTCAATTAAGCTGGTTCTCGTGTGGCCTCTGTGTCTTCGACAGCTGCTGAATCCTCTGATCACACACGATGGGACTTGTACACTTGAAATCAAACATATTTTTAAAACTTCTGTTGTTGAGAATTCCCACCTCATTTTTCCATGGACAAAATTATTCTTTATGTCATAGTGCACTTAAAATTTGGTATTACCTAGAAGTTAAAGAAATGTGATAACCATGCCAAACTGATATCTCTATGTAAGATTATTCCGTCAGAAAACCCTCTCCCAGTTCCCCTGCAGCTCTTCAGGAATCCCCATCTCCCCAGAGCTCTTTGTGCCCATGGATGGCGCTTCCAAAGTAGAGAAGACCGTTTGTCAAGAAGGGAAGCAGAAGGGGGACGAGAGGGTCTTGCAGGCAGAGCTGGAATCGACTTCCACTCTGCTTCTTGCAAGCTGTGTGATGCTAGGTGAAATTTCTCCTTCCTCTGGAGCCTCTATTTTCTTAGATTTGGAGCAGGGTGGTCACACTGACCTTGTAGATTTCTGAGAATCAGAGACAGCACATGAAAAGCCTGGAGGCCATTCTCTTAAGAGTAGCTGTGACTCATGTGTGGACAATGGGCTTTTCATGCTTCTGTTTCTCTCTGTTTATCTGATGCAAGGAACATGCTCCGGTGATGATGGTGAGGGAGGAATTAGGATAGACATAGACACCCCTGTGTCAGAAACATGCTTCTTTATTACTGGGTTATGACTCTGTCTTCCCAGGGACAGGCCCCCAGCCTGCGTACATTTGCAGACAGAGTGGCGTGTGGGGATAGCAGTTTGTCCCCACGACTTTTCTTCACTCCCCTGCTGTTGGCAGGACTCAGTTGAAGGGAGACTTTATGGCATTCATGCTGCCATTTTGAAACCTGGAGGAGGGAAAGGTGCAAGGGACTATCACCCGAGGCATAAGGTGCAGCTTGTGTTGGTTTTGGTGTTTTTGTCCATCATATTCATATATTTCAAAACATTTTCTCCTCCTGACTTGTAGGTCAATGTGGCTGCAGGGAAGCTCATCCTTTCTCAGAATGGCCCTACTTGCCCGATCTCATGGCTGGCCCTTCAGGACCATTGATGGGCTGCCAGCCGCCTCCTCTACCGGGTGTTGTCTGGGAACTCAAACACTCCCTCCATCTGAAGGTTTTCTGGGACCTCAACAAACTCCTCCACTGGAGTGTCCTCTGGGAACTCAAGCACCTCTTGCACTGGAGAGTCCCCTGAAAACTTAACCACCTCCTCCACTCGATTGTTCTCCAGGGCCTCATCCAGCTCCTGCAGCTGTCAGTCCTCTCAGACCTCATCCACCTGCAGCTGTCAGTCCTCTCAGACCTCATCAACCTGCAGCTGTCAGTCCTCTGGGACCTCATCCACCTCCTGCAACTGGCAGTCCTCCCGGATCTCATCTACCTGCAGCTGTCAGTCCTCCGGGACCTCATCCACCTCCTGCAGCTGTCAGTCCTCTGAGACCTCATCCACCTGCAGCTGTCAGTCCTCTGGGACCTCATCCACCTCCTGCAGCTGGCAGTTCTCCCGGACCTCATCTACCTGCCGCTGTCAGTCCTCCAGGACCTCATCCACCTCCTGCAGCTGTCAGTCCTCCAGGACCTCATCCACCTCCTGCAGCTGTCAGTCCTCCCGGACATCATCCACCTGCAGCTGTCAGACCTCCAGGACCTCATCCACCTCCTGTAGCTATCAGTCCTCCCGGACCTCATCTACCTGCAGCTGTCAGTCCTCCGGGACCTCATCCACCTCCTGCAACTGGCAGTCCTCCCGGACCTCATCTACCTGCAGCTGTCAGTCCTCCGGGACCTCATCCACCTCCTACAGCTGTCAGTCCTCCGGGACCTCATCCACCTGCAGCTGTCAGTCCTCTGGGACCTCATCCACCTCCTGCAGCTGTCAGTCCTCCGGGACCTCATCCACCTGCAGCTGTCAGTCCTCTGGGACCTCATCCACCTCCTGCAGCTGGCAGTCCTCCCGGACCTCATCTACCTGCAGCTGTCAGTCCTCCAGGACCTCATCCACCTCCTGCAGCTGTCAGTCCTCCGGGACCTCATCGACCTGCAGCTGTCAGTCCTCTGGGACCTCATCCACCTCCTGCAGCTGTCAGTCCTCCCGGACATCATCCACCTGCAGCTGTCAGTTCTCCAGGACCTCATCCACCTCCTGTAGCTGTCAGTCCTCCCGGACCTCATCTACCTGCAGCTGTCAGTCCTCTGGGACCTCATCCACCTCCTGCATCTGTTGGTCCTCTGGGACCTCATCCACTTCCTGCAGTGGTAGGTTCTCTGGGACCTCATCCACCTCCTGCAACTGTAGGTCTTCTGGGACCTCATCCACCTCCTGAAGCTGTTGGTCCTCTGGGGCCTTATCCACCTTCTGCAACTGTAGGTCTTCTGGGACCTCATCCACCTCCTGCAGCTGGTGGTCCTCTCGGACCTCATCCATCTCCTGCACCAGTAGGTCCTCTGGGATCTCATCCACCTCCTGCAGCTGTTGGTCCTCTGGGACCTCATCCACCTCCTGCAGCTCCTTGTCCTCCCGGACCTTATCCATCTTCTGCATGTTTCTGTCCTCCGGGACCTCATCCATCTTTTATAGCTGCCTTTCCTCTGGGACATCATTCACCTTTTTGTTCTGTGAGGCCTCTGGGACCTCCGACTACATCTCCACTTAGTAATCTCTGGATCCTCAGCCACCCCTTCTACCTGGGTGGCCTCTGGCCCCTCAACTACCACCTTCACATGAATCTCCTCAGCTACTTCAATAATCTCCACTTGTGGTCCCTGGGACTTCAGCCACCTCCTCCACCAGGGTCTCTTCTAGTACATCTGCCACCTCCTCCACTTGCCTGGCCTCTGCTATCTGAACCAACTCCTCTGGGACCTCAACCAGCTCCTCTACCCATTGTGGCCTGTAAGACCTCAACCACCAACTCCACATGTACCACTTGGTATGTTTATCTGAACAGTATGAACTAAGTTGCAAAATGGACTCATCTTTCCTTTTTTGAATGAATAGAAATGTCACAGATTGTACTGCAAGGCTTTGCAATATGAGGGTAGCACTGGCTGAGGATGTGGTCACTTTGCTCAAGTTTCTGAGACTACAAATCAGTTGCATTATTTTCTCATTATGACTTTGGCAGCAGGTATCTTCTGTAGATAAGGAAAGAGTTTTTTTTTTTATTTTATTTTGGTGGGGGACAGAGTCTCACTCTGTCACCCAGGCTGGGGTGCAGGGGTGCACTCCTGGCTCACTGCAACCTCCGCCTCTAGGGCCCAGGTGATCCTTCCACCTCAGCCTCCAGAGTGGCTGGGACTACAGGTGTGCAACACCATGCTTGGCTAATGTTTTTTTGTTTTACTTTTTGTAGAGACCATGTTTCACCATGTTGCTCAGGCTGGCCTCAAGCTCCTGGAGCCATGCCATCTGCCCACTTTGGCCTCCCAGAGTGCCAAGATTACAAGTGTGAGCCACTGTGCCCAGCCAGAGATTGTTTATAGAAGCTAGAAATACAAGCTTTGCAGGCTTGTGTGGAACCTGGGCCATATGGCCAGCTCTGTGAGGGATGAGACCCATCCCTGACTGGCAGGGCATCCTGTGTGCTGCAGCAGAGAGACCCACACTGAAGGGCACAGAGCTTCTGACCAGCCCAATGGAAACACAAGTGAAGGGACACAGGGTGCAGAAGGAGGAGACAGAATCTCCTGGGAGTAAACAGGAGGCCGTGGAAGAGAAAGCTGAAGCAGGGAGGTGTGACATGGGGGGTTGTTGAACTCAGGTAGAGCTGGAAGGCTGCTCCTAGCCAGGCAAGCAGCGTGAGCAGGAGCATGGAGGCTGCGGTGAGGGCCACACAGAGCTGCCATGGGAGCTCAGATACCACATTGTGCACAGGAAATTACCACCCCAGCACTTCCTTGTTGCCCTACAGCCTTTAGTCCATTATTGGTAGGAAGATGATTCTTTCCCTGGGTGCATGAAGGCTCTAGATCGGGGTGAATGAATGCCTAGAGGTCTGAAAATTTTAACTTGGTTCTGTCAGGGGAACCTGTCTCCCTGAGTTTTCACGGCCTAAGGAGACTAACAATGAGGATGGGTCTGGTTCAGTGGAGCTGCGGCCTTGGCCTTCAGAATGAGGCCAACTCTGGCTGGAAACTCAAGGCCAATCCTGAGCTGCTGTGACCTACTCTGATCTCCTGCACCCTCTCCTTCCCACCTACAACTCTCAGCTTTGCATCTCCCAACCTTGGCAGGCAAAATGCTTCCCCTTCCCTGTGTCTTTGCTGCCTAAGCCCAGACACCAACTCTCAGTAGAGCTCAGAGCCCCAGCTTTCTCAGAAATGAGCTGGGAATGATGCGATTATGAGGTCATGGTGAGGACAGGGAGACCAAGCTCATAAGGAAGGCATCTTGCAAAATAGCTGGTAGATGGTAGAGCCTCACCCCTCCCGCTGGTTAAATGAAAATATTTCCACTCAGAAGATCAGCAAAAGGTGTTCATTGAAGTTCATTTAATAAACCTTAGGGTGTAGCAGCTCAGGCTCTGGGATTTCCAGTTTCTCTTTCAAAAGATAAGGGAAAGCCCCTGTCTCCAAGATTAGAATTCAGATCCTTACGAGATGAAGAGATCCTAAAAATGCATACACAGTTAAACTCTGAGATTTGTATCTGTGATCTGTGGATAATTATTCTCCATGACATACAGACACAGATATGGCCACACACAGAAGTATTCAGCAGGGGCACAGATATTTCATAGAAGACAAAATGTATATTGGGCAAAAGAAGGTCACCTGGAAATAAACCGAAATCTTTTTACCTTACAGGATAATTTTGAAATTTGAAGAGTCTCCTGGGCCATGATATCTTGGAAAAGTCTCCACCATATTTGATGCTCCATGCCCCGTGCTCCCTCCTCTCTCTCTCATTTCCAGTGTTTCCCTTTAGAAACATTTGCAGTCCTATCTTTCTGGGTGTCTGCTTCCTGGAGGACCAGTTCACACCCCAGGGTATACCAGGTGTGACTCCTCGTACACTATTCAAACTCAGGCAGATACTGCCTTGCTGGACACAGAAGCAGGGTTACCCTTTGGGTAGTGTTGACTGGTAAGGGCCCGAGGGGGACTTCTGGGGTGGGGGAATATCCTGTATCCAGCCACGGGTGGAGGTTGTGCTCATTCATTCTAGAAAGAGTCACTGTGTTCCTAGTGACTGCCAGTGGTGCCTTGTGAGCAGATAGACAGTAATACATCCCCATGAGGTGGCCAACTTCTGACAGGGAATAGAAGGGCCCAGCAGCGGCTGTGGAGCCCTTAAGGAGCCTCGCAGAGACTCAGGGTTTGTCAGAGCCCATGCCCCACTGAGCCAGCTGCCCCCCGGTAGCACCAACTCCAGGCGGCTCTAAGGGAAGCTGAGCTGGGTGTAGACATTTCTCCATAAGTCCTGTGCCCCCCACCATCTTCCTGTAATTTTTAAATTGTGTGATAGGCAGAGATCGGTGGTGAGAGGCTAACTGAGCTGGACTGGAGAGGAGTGAAGAACGCAGGGGTGAGGTCAGTCAGAGGACGGGACAGGCAGAGAGAAGATGAGAGAGAAGGGATGAGAGAGGGAGGGGAAGGACAAAGAGAAGGAGAAAGACAGGGAGGATAGAGAGAGAGGGGTTGAAACAGTGAGAGAAAGAGAGAAGGGAGAGAGAGAGAAGGTGGAGGGTGAGGGGAGAGAGAGAGAGATGGAGATGGGAGGATGGAGTCATGGAGAGAAGTTGATTTGGGCCCAGGGGGAGAAAAGGAAAGCTGGAAGAGACAAAGACAGAAGGACCCACAGTGAGAACCAAGGGAGCTGGAGGGAGGGAGGTGTCCAGAGAGCTGGCCAGTGATCCACATACCGAGAGGAAGGCAGAGAGTAAAAGAGAAGAGAGGAATGAAGACAGAGGAAACAAGAGAGATGGAGAGGACTGAGACAGGGAGAGGAGGCTGGAGAGAATCACAGACAAACAGCACAATAGAGGAAGGGAAAGAGTTGTTGAAGACAGGGTCACAGAAAGAGAGAAAGGAAGGACAAAGAGGGAGGCAGAGAGAAGCAGAGAGAAGCAGAGAAAGAGAAAGCAGGGAACAAAGCAGTGAGCCGGCAGGAGGTGGAGGGGGGGCGGCACAGCAGTTGGGAGGAGTTCTTGCACTCCAAGCCGTGACCTCCTTGGGGCCTTGAAAGCCCATCACATGGGGACACGTAGGCCTCCCTTGTGGCTGGGTTGCTGTGTGGAGCCTCTGGGTCTGTCCCTGAAGCAGGGACTTCCAGGGGAAAGGGCTGCCCTGTCACAGGTTTGCCTCCTCTGTGGGGTGGGGACCCAGAGCAGCCTCCCTCGCTGTCCTGGTCCCTGCTGCATTTCCCATCCTGGCCAGCTAGGTGGCCGTCAAGTCCCATACCTGGGAACCAGGCTGAGACCCTTTGTCCAGCCTCATCTGTTCTCACCTGGCTCCAGATTCCAGCCACAGCTCTGGCAAACAGTCCATGCGTGCTGGCTGTCACCAGATCCACACACCCCGGGTGGATTCCTGCCCTGTTCCCACAGGACAGCCCTCAACCAATGGAGACAGGAACCTGGAGTTAAATGCTTCTCCCTTTTTCACTGAGAGAGAGACATGCACAGTCTGATGCACTTTCTTTCCTTCTTTCTTTTTCTTTCTTTTTTTTTCTTAAGACAGAGTCTCTCTCTGTCACCAAGGCTGGAGTGCAGGGGCACGATCTGGGCTCACTGCCACCTCCACCTCCCGGGTTCAAGCAATTCTCCCACCTCAGCCTCCCGAGTAGCTGGGATTACAGGCACTAGTTACCACGCCCAGCTAATTTTTGTATTTTTAGTAGAGATGCGGTTTCACCATATTGGTCAGGCTGGTCTCAGACTCCTGATCTCAGGTAATCTGCCTGCCTCAGCCTCCCAAGGTGCTGGAATTACAGGCATGAGCCACCACACCTGGCCGTGATGCACTTTCTAGATGCTGTCCTAGAGATCACACTGTGTTAAGCCTCAGTTGCCTTCAATGTGGTCATCTCTACAGTATACCCTTAGCTTTTTTCTCCTCCGTTACTTTCCCAGACCCTCACTCTGCTCCCTGGATTCACTTTTCGAAATAGTCCTCCTGCTGCAAAGTCCTGGGCACCTGCCCTACTTTCAGCATTGGAAGGGGGGCCCAGGCTAAGACCATGAGGCCCCACTGTGGGCGCCCACAGCCCCGTTCCTCCCTCTATTCCCACCACAGTCACATCCTCCTGTCCCTCAGTGCTTCCTCGCCTTTCCCTCCAGCCCACCGTGAGATCCCAGGGGACGGAGCAGCCCCTTCTCTGCCCCAGTGCAGGGCTTGGCCTTAGCACACGGTCAGTCTGTGCTGGGGTGAAGTGATGAATGAGTGAGTGGTTGAGTGATAATGCATCATCAGATCTGTCTTTTCCACATGTCTCTATCTCCACCCAGAACCAGTTTTCTCATCCACAAATGGGCATTTGAGGCTGGGTGCTCCTAAACCCTACAAAATTCAGAGCTGGCACAGTTGGGGACTGACCTTCCTTGATCTCACCTCACTTTCTGTATCTATAAAATGGGGTACCTTTCTCTAAGAGTAAAAAGGAGGCCTGGCATAGGGAAAGAAACTCAGCTCGAGCATCCAGAACATCCATCTTGCTCTCAAATACCTAATACAGGGGACCATGTTTTCTGCTATAATTGGTATTGGAGCTGGTACCATTTATTAAAGGTAATTCAGTTACAAAGCTTCAATTATTAAAACTGTGTAGTAAACGTGTATATATGGACAGACAAATAGAAGAGGAAGTCCAGATGTAGACAGAAATCCATACAGAAATAGAGAATGGGACAAAGGAAACATCTCAATGCAGGGTGTTCAGACACCTGGCCAATCATCTGAAAACTGAAAGAATAAAATACGCCGGGCGCGATGACTCATGCCTGTAATCCCAGAACTTTGGGAGGCCAAGGTGGGCAGATCACCTGAGGTCAGGAGTTTGAGACCAGCATGGCCAACAGGGTGAAACCCCATCTCTATTAAAAACACAAAAATTAAGCAGGGTGTGGTGGCGGGTGCCTGTAATCCCAGCTACTCGGGAGGCTGAGTCAGAAGAATCACTTGAACCCGGGAGGCATAGGTTGCAGTGAGCCAAGATCACGTCACTGCACTACATACAGCTTGGGTGACAAGAGTGAAACTCTGTCTTAAATAAATAAATAAATAAATAAAATTTAGTCCTTTTCTCAAAGTAGACAGTGATATAAATTCCAAATGCATTATGATTTAATACTTAAAGAAAAATCATGATGTCATGAGGATGTACATCTGTCAAGCCTCATCAACTTGTATCCTTTAAATAGATGCCTTTTGTTATATGTAAATTATATCTCATGAAAGTTGGTTAGAAAACATAAAAGTATTGGAAGAATATGTGAGAGAATTCCATTCTAACCTTGAAGTGGGTGGGGTGATTGGAGTCCCTCTAACCATGACTCAATATCTAAAAACCATAAAATAAATTCATTACTAAATCTGACTACACAAATTCAAAAAAATCTACATGGCATGAAGCACCATAAGAAAAATCAAAAGGCAATTCACACTGGACAAATATTTGTAACTCAGATCACAGGAAAAGGGCTGACTTCACAAATATCTGGAGTTCAAAAATGAGAAATAACCAAACAGTCCATTAGGAAAACATGCACGGAACAAGAACAGACTTTCCTGTTTTTTTTTTTTTTTTTTTTTTTTGAGACAGAGTCTCGCTCTGCTGCGCAGCCTGGAGTGCAATGGTGCAACCTCAGTTCACTGCAACCTCCACCTCGCAGGTTCAAGCAATTCTCCTCCCTCAGCCTCCCAAGTAGCTGGATTATGGACACCCACCACCACGCCCGACTAATTTTTGTATTTTTAGTAGAGATGGGGTTTCACCATGTTGGCCAGGCTGATCTCAAACTCCTGACCTCAGGTGATCCACTTGCCTCAGCTTCCCAAAGTGCTGAGATCCCAGGCATGAGAGAATCCCAGACCCGGGCCCCATCTTAAGCTCTGGTTGGATGCCAAGCCTAGGCTCACTCCCAGGCCCAGTCCCAGTTCTAGGCCCACGCCCAGGATCACTCCCAGCCCCAGCCCCAGGCCCCTTGTGGCCTCAGAGCCCCTATGCCTCCGACTTCTTGACAGACACTCAGTTATTCCCTCACTTCACGGAGGTGCTCCCACCTCTAGACGTCAGTCTTCACGATGATGTCTCAGTACAAAGAAGGGCAGGGCTCTATGGACAAAAAAGACTCAGGGTTTCAGTACCAAGAGGAGGATATCTCTGTGAATGAAAACTATTCAGACCCCAGGTAACCACTGGGTTGGTAAGGGGCCTGTGCCTGCAAAGTCCTACAGATCCCAGTGGGCCTGGAGTGGCTGGTCTACACCACTGATAACTTTCTGCAGCAAATGCACCGCCCTTCACCCACTCTGCTGCAGGTGGGCATTTGCTGTCTTCACTGTGCGGCCATCACAGGTGGCTCTGCTGTGAATGTACCTGCCTCTCATTTGAATTGAGCCTGAGCATTTCTTTGCTGGGATTGGAACCACTGTCCACTGGGATATTTGGCATTAGTGAATGCTGCTTGAGAGCTTTGTAAAGGGCTTTTCCCAGTGCTTCTGATGGTCAGCGTCTTTGCCAACATTTAGGATTGTGAGACTTTTTAACGTTTCTTGATCCAATGACTTGTGGCTTTGTTGTGGTTGTAATATCCATTTTCCTGATGGTTGAGAGGTTAAGAAATTCTCACATGTTAATTGAACCTTAGAAATTCTCTAATGTGTCTATTTGTTTATCCATTTTTTTTCATTTATTGGAATGTATTCTGCCTTGGCAATTAAAGTTCTGCAAATACCAAAACAAGCAAACAAACAAACAAAAAAAACAATTTTTCTCAAACTTTTCCCAAAAATTAAAGAGGAGGGAATTCTTCCCAACTCAGTCTATAAGGCCAGCATTACCCTGATACCCAAACAAGACAAGGACACACACACACACAAAAAAACACTACAGGCGGTATTCCTAATGAACATAGATGAAAACATTTTCAACAAAATACTACCAAGCTGAATCTAACAATGAATCAAAAAGATAATATGCCATGATCAAGTGGGATTTAGGGGTGGTTTCAGGATGAAACTGTTCCACCTCAGATCATTAGGCATTAGTAAGATTCTCATAAGGAGCCGGCAACCTAGATCCCTTGAATGCACAGTTCACAATAGGGTTCATGCTCCTATGAGAATCTAATGCTGTCACTGATCTGACAGGAGGTGGAGCTCAGGCAGTAATCAGAGGGATGGGGAGCGGCTGTAGACACAGATGAAGCTCCGCTCACTTGCCTGCTACTCACCTCCTGCTGTGCAGCCCCATTCCTAACAGGCCACAGACCAGTCCTCGGCCAGGGTGTGGGGACCCCTGCTGTAAAGGGTTCCTACCAAGATTAGAAGGGAAGAAGGAAAGGGGATCACCTGGAAGCCACATGGAGACGGGGCAAGACATGAGATGCCTAGAGAAAAAGATGACTCAGGAGGACACAATCACTGAGTCTTTGAAGGACTGTCACGTATGAAGTTCACAGCTGTGTATGAAGTTCACAGCTGTGTCCTATGAAGAGAAATTAGAGGAACACAGATTTTGACTGTAATTTATAATTAGACTAAGGCATTTAGTAATAGAATGAACTGCTTAAAGATGTACTGAGCTCTCCATCGCTGAAAGTATGCAAACAACAATTGGCTGGCTGTCTTCCAGGGAGGCTGCTCACATACATGACTCCTACATGAAGGATCATGTGAGTCCTGCATGAAGGATGTCAACGGTGACTCTAAGGTCCCTAAGTTGTTTGGTTTCTTTTGTTTCTTTGTTTTGAGACAGGGTCTTGCTCTGTTGCCCAGGCTGGAGTACAGTGGCGTGATCTTGATTCACTGCAGCCTTGATCCTCTGGGCTCAAGCAATCCTCCCATTTTAGCCTCCTGAGTAGCCGGGACTACAGGCACATGCCACCATGCCCAGCTAATTTCCTTCTTTTATTCTTTCTTTCTTTCTTTCTTTCTTTCTTTCTTTCTTTCTTTCTCTTTCTTTCTTTCTTTCTTTCTTTTCTTCTCTCTCTCTCTTTCTTTCTTTCTTTCTATCTTTCTTTTAAGACGGGTTTCATCATGTTGCCCAGGCTGGTCTTGAACAGCTGAGCTCAAGCAATCCCCTGCCTTTGCCTCTCAAAGTGCTAGGATTACAGGCGTGAGCCACCGCAGCCAGCCACCTGGCCCCAAAGGCAGCTTCATCCCTTCAGGTCCTCCACTCTCAGCCAATTCATTCAGCCACTGAGACAGTCATTTTGCATTTGTTGGAAGATGTTAAATTGCAACTGCATGCTCAGGCCAAGACTCTGGTGATGCACAGCACATCTAGAAGAAAAAAATAGTTGGAGAGGGCAGAATTCTGCAAAGAGAGAAGAGGAAAGGTTGATAATGACGAGTCAGAACATAGGCTCCAGGAGTCAGGACTATTCCATCTGAACCAGATGTGTGTACATAATTTCCCCTTGGGGGCTGCACTCATCAGGTTCTCTGCAGAAACAGAATCACTCCAGATGGCTCCCATGAAGACACTATAAAGCAATACTGACAGAGGTGGCAGGTTAAGGGACAATATGGGGAATGGAGAGGCTCCCAGAAACTAGCAACAGTGGGAAGACTTTAGCACCCCTAGGCTGAAGGGGTTAGGAGAGGAAATGTCCCCGACTTTTTAAGAGCTGGAGCCATGAAAGAGGAGTCACCCAAGTGAACAGCAACCCTGGAGATCATGCAGCTGCAAGACGCTGGGTGGAAACACCCCCAGCTTCTCTCCTCCCACCGTCCAGAGTTCCATGGTACCTCCCATTGGTTAACCAAAAACCAATGGCAAAGAGTCAGAGAGACTTAGCCTGCAGGAGTGAGCCTCCTGGGGCACAGGGCAGACAGAAAGGCAAAGAAAGAAGTATGAGGGTCCAGGGAGTGACAAATAGAGTGACCAGAGTAGGGGCTCCTTTCCTTGCCCCGTGACAGGGACTGTGGTTTGCCCCACAGTACCCTGCTGTTTTGATGCAGACACACAGTGGGCCATTTTGGACCATAAAGATGAGGTTCTGGTCCCCAAAGCCTCAGGGCTACTGCCCAGCTCCAGAATGCTGTCATTAAGACTGCTAGTTGAGAGGCACTCAAACTAGTAGTGGCTCAGAGCTGTCAACCTGTACCTACCAGAGGTATAATTTTGATAATTGCAGAGTGTCCATCTTTAAGGAGGCTTAAAGAGCTCACTGCATGGTTTTACATTGGCCAGAAGAGAGCTGGTCCTCTTCTTGAATAGGACTCCCAGCCCTGAGATTGTCCAGAGCAGCTCTAACCTTGCTCAGGGACGTTCTCATCCAGTATAGATTTCCTTCTAGTGCCCTCTGCAAAATGCTGGTGTTAGCCCTGAGCAGGGCAGGGTAGTGCTGGATGATTCTGCAGCTCTCTGCCTCTCTTTGAGGCAGCCTTTTTGTCTTGCATTGCTGTTCTCCCCCTCACTGGTTGCATCTTCTTATCCCTGGACAGTTCATGGTGAGGGCAGTTGCTGGTAAGAATCACTTCCTGCTGGACCCCAAGACGATAAGAGCTAGCCCACTGTACAGCAGCATCTTACTTCCTGTGTGACTCCATTAAGCCCTCCCCTGGAGGCAGTAGGGTCCCCGCTCGATCACTTCACATCCCATGGAGCATGGGATTCCCTGACCCAAAGGAAGTCGGGGAAGAAGACAACAGAGAAGACATGCCCCCATTCCTGTCTCCACCTTCCAAGTTGCCTGCCTGGCTCACACAACAAGGCATATACAATTTATAGATAAATCTATTTTACGTTGGTATTTTTTTAGGTTACAAAGCAATTTCACATAGAATTTTACTCAACTGGAGAAGTTTCAGAAAAGCGGTTTTTCATTCCCATTTTGCAGATGAAGAAACTGAGGTTTCGAGGTGGTAAAGTAACTTACCCAGTGGCATACAACTGGCAACCAGTTGGGCTAGCACTGAAACCTAGTTTCTAAGATTTATTTCAGAGGGTCTTTCTCTTTTCCTAGAGAAGCTCCATATAGTTAAGGAAAAATCTCTTTTTCCTAGTGGACTTTTTTTTTTTTTTTTTGAGACGGCGTCTCGCTCTGTCCCCAGGCTGGAGTGCAGTGGCACGACCTCGGCTCACCACAAGCTCCGCCTCCCGGGTTCACACCATTCTCCTGCTTCAGCCTCCCGAGTAGCTGGGACTACAGGTGCCCGCCACACAGACCCCTTTTAGGCCACACAGCCTCCCTGAACTCCAGGAGAACAGCCCATAGGGGAGAAAGACACCTCCCAACATGACGCAGAATAGCTACACCCGTAACTCTGTGTCTTCCTGACCCTGGAAAAAGTGAAAACTAGTGTGCGACGCCAGCACTCTAAAAACGTCAATCCTCTGGTAGGGGGACGTCTGGTGTTCGCCTCAGCTGTTGCCCTCTCAGGAACACCTGTCCAGATCTCCCTCTTCCAAACTGCGCTGCTGCCGCTTCCCCTCTGCCCCCACTGCACTCCTGACCCCCCTTACTGCAGTGCCTTTTCTCTTTGTCTTTAAATAGCACTTATCACCTTCTAACATTCTGTACAATTTCCTTCCTGTATAAATTTCATATTTGTTTCCCCTCACTAGAATAGAAGCTCCAGGAGGGCAGAGACTTTTATTTCTCCATGTGCCTAGAATAGTATATGACATTCAGGAGTGCAAAAAACGTGTGCAAGGAAGGGAGTGAGGAGGGGACCCTAACATTGACATTCCACAAGAGCCTAGGCCTGTGATCCAGATGTGTGGACCCTCGACCTCTCACTCATGACCTAGAGGTGGCTAAGGCCGGGGAGCAGCCTCTGGTAGCTGAGGATGGGAGGCCCAGTCAATGGCTCACCGCCCAGCCTGTTGGGAAGGCGCAGCCATGGGTGGGAGGGAGCAGGGGGAAATATTGTGTTCATTTTACGGAGACAGAGCTACTGGCCAGGGATGGACTTAACTAAGCCTGAGTCTGGCGAGACAAGGGCAGATTAATGCTGATCAGGTACAGTCCTTTCCCTGGGGCTGGGGTGGGGCTAGGAGCAAGGGTTTTGTTCAAGTGTGTTACTGGCCAAAGGGGCTTGAAGCCAGGCCCAGAGGTGGGTGAGGCAAATATCCCTTTGGGACAGAGCAAATCTCCCTCCAGGAAAAGAAGACAGCTGGACCTTGCCTGTCTGGGCCATGATGAGCCAAAAGAGTTAGTGTGTTTGACTTTACAACCTACCAACCCTTTCACAGGTATGGTCTCATTTGGGCCCTCCAGCCACCTATCAGGGAATAAATGTGTTTATAGGTGAGGAGAGGAAGGCACGAGGGCAGAAGATGCTTGCAGGAGGAGCAGGTGGTGGCTGGAACTCATGGCTCCAGATCCCTTGCTGACTCTATCACCTATCTAATGGGAGGAGCTGACACTCGTACACTTCCCCGGCTGTGGACTGAGCCCACTAGGGAGGTAGGGTGGTCCCTCCAAGCTTACACCATGCCCTGTGCTGGAAGGCAGAGTAAACCCACACTGAACAACTAAATTTCCAGGTTTCATCCCCGACTCAGCTGCAGTTTGGGAAGCCACTGCTGCTCCCTGGGACTCAGTTTCCCCACCTGGAAAAGCCAAGCCCTGTCCAGTTGATGAAGCTCAGGTAGGCTTCAGTGAGACTTGAGCACAACTAGGCTTTGTGCCTTGTTGGACTCCAGTCACTAGCCAGGAGTTTCCAGAAGCTTCTGTGGGAGATCATCCTCACCCCATCCCTCTCCCTCCACCTTCCTGTTCTCTTCCCATCCTCTTCTCCCACTGTCCTTGTCCATGAGATCTGAATAAAAGCAAAGCAACTTGTAAGTGCTCTCCACTTCCCTGTCCAGCAGCTGCTCCAGTGAGCACCATGGCAGCCACAGAAGCTGCCAGGAGAGGACACTTTATGGGAAGAGGACTCTGGATGGGGCTGTGCCTCCTCCCAAGGGGTGAGTGGTGATAGCAGGACTTACTCCAGGCTTTCAATGACTTTCACTTCAAAAAGGAGCCCACGATGGAACAGCCCAAATGTCCATCAGTGGATGAATGGACAAACAAGATGTGGTCTGTCCATACAATGACATGTTATTCAGCCATAAAAAGGAATGAAGTACTGACCTGGGCTACAAGGAGGAACCTTGAAAATGCGACGCTACGTGTAAGAAGCCGGACTCAAGAAGTCATGTAGTGTGTGATTCCATGTGTATGAAACACCTAGAACAGGTAAATCCATAGAGATAGAAAACAGATTGAGCAATGGCCAGGGGCTGTGGGGACAGGAGAATGGGGAGTGACTGCTTAATGCCTCTGCGGTTTCCTTTTCAGGTGGTGAAAAACGTTTTGGAACTAAATAGAGGTTGCACAGAGGTTGACAGCAGTGTCAATATACTAAATGCCACTCATCAAATGGCTAATTATTTGTAATGTGATCTCAATTTTTAAAAATGGGGCTAATGCAGTAGGCGCAGGGTACCTGCACCGCCCACCTCCCCAGCCTTGGCCACCTCTAGCTTCCCACTGCAGGGCCCACCAAACACCCTCCTCTGCTATCCTCCTTCAATTCCAGGCCAGCCTTGACCTGGCAGAGGGTTTTTAAACCACCTGATGCTGAGCCACTGCCCCTGGGGTTCCACAAATCTTAACACAATTGTCCCCATTTATTAAGCACCTATTGTATACTATGCCCTTGCTGAGGCAGTCCTACACCTCTGTCAGGCAGGCACATTCTCAAGCTCGACATGGGAGAGAGATGGCTCTCATTTCATGGGCTGATGGTGAGGACATGGTGTCCAGCCTGTCTCAGTAAGCACCCAGTGTGAGACAGCTGCTCCAGTCACTGTGAGATTATTGCAGTCTTTGTTTCACACGTGTCCAGGCTCTGGGCTCAAGTGACCTGTTCAAGCTCAGCCAGCTGGTGTGAAAGGTCCATTGGGCCTGTGACAATTGCAGGCCGAAACATGGAGTTTTGACACAGAGGAAAGGGAAATGGGCAGTTGTTTGAGGGTTGGGGCTCCTGGGACATGATGAAGAGGCCTGCAGAGCCCTGAGCCTGTGGCCTCAGAGAAGAGCAGGCCTGAGTAGGACAAGGACAGAACACAGGAGCTTCAGAACAGAGGGACAGACAGAAGGTAGAGGTAGTAGGAGCTGGAGGGGCAGGGAAGGCTGCACAGGACCCTCGGGAAACAAAGGGGTTTTTCTCACCTATAAAATGAGGCGATGACACCATCCCTGGAAGCAGATCTGGTAACCAGTCCCAAACCATAAGCAAGCAGCCTCAGGCCAGATGTAGCCAGCACTAGAAGCCATTCTGCTTCCTGGGCAGGGTCTTGAGCTGTCTCCAGCCCAGACAGAGTCCTCCAGGGCTCTAGAACTTCATCTGGTCATTTGTCCAGTAGTCTCAGCTGACAGATGAGGAAACTGAGGTCTGGAGCGGGTTTAAGGGACTTGCCCATGGTGTCATTGCAGAGTGCGGCTGGGGCCTGGGTCACACACTCCTTCACTGCACCACGCTGGAAACCTAGATTGATAAGAGACAACAGGGAGCCCAGGACCCGGTGGTGTGAGACTGAGGTCCCGGAAGGCCGCATGTCCCCAGTCTCTCTCCCTAGACTTCTCCCCTGTCCTGGAATCTCACCATTAGAGAAGGACTTGCTGGGAGTAAGGGGCCACCTACTACTCCATGTTTGGGGTTAGTTTATCATCCCAAGGTTGGGACTGTGTAGAGTCAGTCTTTCCCCTGAAGGTATCTTTGGGCCGGCTGCTCAGGCCTGTCATCCCAGCACTGTGGGAGGCCGAGGTGGGCATGATGCTTGGGCTCAGGAGTTCAAGACCATCCTGGGAAACATGTTGAAACCCCAACTCCACAAAAAATACAAAAATTAGCCAGCCATGTTGGTACCCACCTGTAGTCCCAGCTACTCAGGAGGCTGAAATGGGTGGATTGCTTAAGCCCAGTAGTTTGAGGCTGCAGTGACCTGAGATCACACCACTGCATTCCAGCCTGGGTGACAGACAGAGACCTTGTCTCAAAAAAAAAGTATCTTAGGAGACACCTAGTAGAATTCCCCATACAGTCCCTCAGTAAACCTGCAAGGGCAGATTTTCCCCCCAGCTTGGCTTGGATCCCTGTTTCTTTGGTGGACACCAGAAGGAGTAGCTGGCTTGTGTTTCAGGATCATGTATGATCATGCAGCACCATCTGTTCCCCCAGGGTCACTCCCAGCACCTAAATGAACTTGTACTGTGAGGGAGACTGGAGGCCCAGCGGGAGCAGATTCATGCCTCACCCTGGGGACCCATCACCAAGAGGAACTAGCATGGGGGTCTCCTGCACCAGCCAAGTCATTCTCTCCTCACTGTCACTCTGGACCAAGCGTGTTCTGTGGAAGTGGCCTGAGTCCCTGGTCATGGGCCGCTTGTATCTGGGGCAGGGGGTGAATCACTCACTCCCTGCATGCTCCTGGGCAGGTGTGTGGCAGGTCTTTTCCAGGCCACATGGTGGCGTGAAGAAAGAGCATGGGCTCAGAATCATCACAACTGGGTTTAAATCCTGGCTTTACCATTTCCTCTTTCTGTGAACCAGTCAAATTTCCCACCCTGTCTGGCTCTTGTTTCCTTATTTGTCAAAAAAAACCCAGCAAGATAGTTAAGGATATAACCAAACAAGCTTTTCATGTAACAAGCATTACACGTGTAACACACACACACACTCTCTCTCTCGCCTTTCCCTGGGGTGGGTGTGGAGATGTTGATAGGGACATGGAAAGGAGAGTCAGAGGTTGTTGCTCTGGGAGGCAGTTGGAAGGGACATTTAGGGACCTGGGGGAAGGAGGAGGCTGGGAAGGCTTGTGGGTGGGCGTACTACCAAACTAGGAGGCTCCACCCCAAGGCAGGTCCCGCCCCACCACACTGGGTAGAAGGTGTCCCAGGAAGCCTGCCCAGCCAGAGAACCAAGGGGTGGACAAAAAGGCAAACATCAAAGCTGGGCCAGAGGTTTTTGGCCAAATGAAGAGCAGCAGGAATATGTCTGGAGTTGAAAGGCCCAAGAAACCCCAGGTGTCTGAGCTCCCCAGGCTTCAGAGAGACCAGGGTTGAGTGGCTGGAGACTTCTGGATTCTGTCCAGACCCCTGGCTAGCCCTGCCTGGCTGTCTCTTTGACTCATGTATGGGGAAGAAAGGAGGGAACAGAGGGAGGAGAGGGGAAGCCACGCAGCTGTTCCTGAGTTGGGGGCCTCGGAAATTCGAGCTGAGCCACACGCTGCCGGCAGGCAGGAGAGGACCTCTTGAAAGCCACTTCTAAGGCCCTGGCCTGGCCTCGCCAGCAGCCCCAGGATTAGCTCTGCAGACTTCTCTGAGTCCTGGACATCTGCAGCCTGGAATCCCCCTCCCTCTCTCGCAGCCCCATGGGGCAGCCCCTGTGACAAGGGAAGGGAGAACAGACAGCTGTGACCTGGAAGGGGGGCTAGAAGGGCCTCTGGCTGGCCTAAAACTCAGAGATTGGGACAGAGCAATGGTGCAGGAGCCGACTGGGGCCTCATTCCAGAAATGCCTTCCCCTTTCTCCATCTTGTGAGCCTGAAAGAGATGGGGGTGAGGGAAAAATAAAAGGCAATAACATCTGCACAGGCCCACCAGGCACCAGGGAGGTGCTGGGTGCTGTACCTGATGCTTACCGCCATCTCAAAGTTGGTCTTATTACTTCTAGCCTTCATTTGAGAAGACAGGCTCAGAGAGGTTAGGTAAATTGCCCATAGTGACCCGGTAAGTTAGTAGTAGTGTCAAGACAGAAGGAAACCCAGAACTAGGTCAATCTACCTCTACATATTGAAGCCTCATTTTATCCAGAGCCCAAAGAATTAGAACCAGGCAGGTCCAGAACGGAACCCAGGGATGGGGTTAGCCTTGTTTGCCTGCTGAAGGCTCAGTGCAATCATTGGCTGCATCACTGAGGTAGAAAGAATACTGAGAAAGGGCTGGGCGCAGTGGCTCACACCTGTAATCCCAGCACTTTGGGAGACCAAGGCGGGCAGATCACAAGGTCAGGAGATCAAGACCATCCTGGCTAACACGGTGAAACCCCATCTCTACTAAAAATACAAAAATTAGCCGGGCGTGGTGGCAGGCGCCTGTAGTCCCAGCTACTCAAGAGGCTAAGGCAGGAGAATGGCGTGAACTGGGAGGCAGAGCTTTCAGTGAGCCGAGATCGCGCCGCTGCACTCCAGCCTGGGCAACAGAGCAAGACTCCATCTCAAAAAAGATAAATAAATAAAAGTAAAAATAAAGAATACTGAGAAGGGGGAAGGGATAATAGATTTTACAAATTGCTCCTGGGTGATGGTGTTCCCTTTCCACACTGCAGTGTGTCTGGAAGAAGAGATCAGGTGAGAGGTCAGCAAACTGAAGGCTCAGCTGGAAAAACTGGGGGCTATCCAGGTTAGAGAAGACTTAGAAGAGGCTGGACTGTTGTTGACCCTGAGTGGACACTTGTTCTCTGGGAACAGATTGAGCCAGGATTGGTTAGGTTTTGCTATAATAATAAACAATCCCCAAATCTCAGTGGCTCACACAGCCAAGGTTTATTTCTTGCTCACATTACATGTTCAACACAGGTCAGCATGGAGCTCTCCTCATCCTAGTTGCTCGGGGATTCAGGGCAAGTCAGGCTTCATGTAGGCATGAGCTCCCCAAGACACTGCAGCAATGGCATAGGAAAGAGGTAAGCCACACACTGGCTATTTAGGCTTCTGCTCACATTTCACTGGCCAAAGGAAGTCACATGGCAACACGTAACTTCATGGGGCCAGGAAGTGCAATCACACCTAGAGCCCATGTGCAGATAGGAATGATTGACTGGCAGCACTCGTGACTACCTCAAGGATTAAAAGGGTAACTGGGGCTGTGGATGAATGCATAAGGAAGTTGACTTTGAGTCCATTTAAGCATGGCCTTCCCAGGAAAATAGTGAGTACCTATCAACAGAAGTGGGTAAGCTATGGTGGGATAGGTGCATTGCATTGCACGAATGTCATAGAAGATTCTCCACCATCACTGGCTTCACGGACTTCGTACCATACAGAGCAGTGGCCATTAAAGGCAAGGGTGCTGAAGCCAAAGGTGCCTGTGTCCAAAACCCTCTCTCTCTTATTGGTTGTGTTACTTTGTGCAGATTACCTAATATCACTGGGCTCCAGTCTCCTCCTCTGCCATGTAGGGATAATAAGAAGTCCATAGAATCATTGTGAGGATTAAATAAGCCCATAGGTTGGGAAGCTCTGATCAAGTCAGTTGCTCTTGCTGTTGTTCTCATTCCTACCCAAGATCTTGTAACCGCCCCTCCCAGAATCCTTGGCCACATCCCTCCCCCGGCCTCTCACATCCCTAAGACATTAGTCAGCAACCAGGACAGGGTTGGGAAAGCTCTGTGCACTGGGCCAAGCAGGCAGATCTTTTCCCACTAGTGTCGCATGGTCTGCTGGGGTAGGTTACTTTCCCTAACCCACCCTGCTCCCCAGTAGGTTTCCTCCCCGTCCTGTCTCCCAGCCGGACTGCAAAGCCATTTCCTTCTTCAGCTCATCCCCAAATCTTCCCTGACAGCCATGGGTCTGATTTTGCCTTCTCCACAATGTCGTATAAATGGAGCCATACAGTATGATGTCTTTCTGCTCTCTTGATTTATCTGTTTTACAGATATTTGGCCGTATCAGATGGGGGATCTCCTCTCCCCCTTCCCCCCCATCCAGTTAGATGGCTGGCATTTGCTCCTTGGTTGTTATCTTTGTAAGTCTAAGTAGGATACTTCTATTTTCAGCTATAGACAGTGTCCCTGGGCTCCCCACTTTCAGAGATAAAGCTATCAGTGCCCCTATCCTTCCCATAAGATCTAAAATAACCATTTTAGAAACATCAGGAGGAGGTGTGGCAAAGTGAGGTGGTGTGTTTCAGAAACGGGTGTTGAAGGAGCACAGAGGAGCCAGGGGAGAGAGGCTTTCTGGAAGAGGCGGGGTTGAGCTGGGCCTTGTCCTCTTACATCTCTGAGGGCAGCTGCCAGCCAACCTGCTCTGGGAGGTCTGCAAGCCCTGATCTGCAGTATCTCACTTCAGACACCAGGGGGAAGGCAAGTGGCTTCGCTGTGGTCACCTGCACAGCCAGACCATGGGCGGCTCAGCTCTCCCCACCCAAATCCCTTAGCGGGGCGGGAGATCTAGGCTCTTAGCTCTCAGCCCTCCATCCTCATGGAGGCTTAAATCCTTAAGTGCCGTCCAATGCTGTGGCTTCCAGGACTTGTGTTCATTGGAGTTGTCTCATCTGCACTCATCATTTCTCAAAGTGTGGTTCCTGGAGCCCTGGCATGGGAATCAGTTTGTTAAGCACATAGATTCCTGGGCCAGGCTTCAGACCTCCTGTTAGGGATGGGCCCCAGGACTCTGCATGTTTAATTCTCTATCCGTGTTTCTCTCACACACAGGATGGAGTGAGGCCTCTGGATCAAGACTCGCCATGATCTCAGCCCCTCAAACCCCTCCACCCTTTTCTCTCCTACTGTCCATGGCAGTTTCCAGGGAAAGGGTCTGTAATTTGAGGAAACATATATTTGATTCCTGGAGATTCACTGGTCACACTACCATGTACAAGCCCTGTGGTAAAGAAACCTGTATGACTTTGTTAAACCTAGCATTTCCCCAAATTATTTGACAGGGAACCCCCTTTCCCACTGTTTAACAGCTGCTTACATCACACCATACACAAAAGGCTACCCTAACCACCTCAGGCCTGACCTGATGGTTCCCTCCACAGTCCCCCCAAACACCATGCACTTTGCCACTTCTATTCCATCCCCTCCCTCCCACAGGAAGGCTTCCCAGATTTCTGTAGCACACCTGGCCTGAGGCTTCTTGGGGTTCCAGCCTCAAATAACCCTCCCTTCTATGTCATTTTTAGACACTCACTGGATGCTCCAGTTCCAGCCATCTTAATGTAACAAAACCCCTTTCCTTCCTTTGTTCTCAAAGAGAAGCAAAGCCACAGGCTCTCCTGGACAATATCTCCAAGAGAGGAATTCCAATTCCAATTCCCACCTGTTCCATAGGCTGAGCCCCAGCAGTCAGCCCTGGTCTCCTCCCAGGTCACCATCTCATTCATCAACACTCGCTAATGCAGACCACTCACTCACTCAGTACCGCCCTAAGCTGACCTCCACAGCGCATACTCAGAGGGGACAAAAAGTCATTGCAGGCCAGGCACAGGGGCTCATGTCTGTAATCCCAGTACTTTAGGAGGCTGAGGCTGGAGAATCACTTGAGCCCAAAAGTTTGAGCCTGCATGAGCTACAATTGGGCCACTGCACTTCAGCCTGGGTGACAGAGTGAGACCCTATCTCAAAACAAAAGTCATTGCAGCTAAAGTCAAGAACCACCTGGATTTCCATTCTCCATCCATTTAGCTCAGTGGTTCCTAAATATTTGCATTTCAAGGACCTGTAAGCAAACTGCATCCCCTGCCCACATGGAAGGCCAAACAAGAGTCCTAACTTTTTATTTGGTCAAGGACTACATTAAAATATAATCCGTTCTGCATTTCAGTTTTGGAGCCTTTGAATAAGAATCATCCATCATTTTGTGAGATAATTTTAATCCAAAAAATTTTTTTGGAGATGGGATCTCACTGTTGCCCAGGTTGGAGTGCAGTGGTACAATCATTGCTCACTGCATCCTCCACCTCCTGGGATCAGGCAATCCTCCCACCCCAGCCTCCCAAGTAAGTGGGACTACAGGCTTTCACCACCATGCCTGGCTAATTTTTTATTTTTTGTAGAGACAGGGCCTCACTGCGTTGCTCAAGCTGGTCTGAAACTCCTGGGCTCAAGTGATCCTCCTGCTTCAGCCTTCCAAACTGCTGGGGTTACAGGCATGAGCTACCATGCTGGCCCCTCATTATAAATTTTAATAACATTTTTATTTTAATACCAAAATAAGTAAAAGGAACAGACTTTTAGAGTAAATAAAAATCCCCTGAATTAATCAATTTAATGTTATGGAACATTCACTATATTGTCCTCAACTTTTCTATTTTGTGTAAACAAATAAAAACCTCACTACAAAGCAGCTCATGTCCTTGAGCCAGGGTCTGGGAAGCAAGCAGACTTGTGCACCTAGTCCGAGTGTAGGTCCGAGCTGGAGACAGTATTGTGATTGCTGTACCAAGGCAGGAAGTCAGTTCTAGGCTTTCACATACATTTCATTTAATATGAAGACCTGGCATTTTAAATGAAAGGGAGATATTGTTGCCATTATTTTCTATATTACAAGAGTGAGTGAGCCACTGTGCCCTGCCAACTATCTTGACAATAGAAAAATCAATGTGTAGCCAATGGAATGCTCCATTAATGGGGGGAAAAACGTAAGAAAAGGGAGGAGTTAATAGTCTTATCATCATACAGGGTTGTCAAGATGGTGAATAGAATTAATTTTAAAAAAGAAATAGAAAATAAGTAATTGTTTAAATGTTCAAATATAGCCAGTAGAAAACAGATTAGAAGATAGATAGATAGATAGATAGATAGATAGATAGATAGATAGATAGATAGATGAATCAAAGAAGAAGAGAAAAAGGAGTTTATGTGAACTAAATGATTACTTTTCATTATCTAATGTTGGTAAATTAAGAAACAGATCCATAAGCAAACTCTACTTTAATGTAGAGTTACAGAGGCTAACCATCTAAATAAATACAAATAGAAATGGCTAAAAGACATTGCCTTGGGAAAGTGAATCAGGGGTAGAGAGAGTTGGACCAAAAAGCTTGTTCTTCATCACAAACACGTATGCAACATTCTTGGTTTTAAAAAAATATATAGGCTGGGTGCGGTGGTGCATGCCTGTAGTCCCAGCTACTCGGGAGGCTGAGGTAGAAGGATTGCCCAGGAGAGTGAGCTGTAGTGAGCTATGTTTGCGCTGCTGCACACCAGCCTGGGTGACAGAGCAAACCCTGTGTCTAAAGAAACAAAAACAAAAACAATTCCCTCCCAATACAATGCGATATATTATTTTCATGTTGATTTTTAATTTAAAAACCACCTTCTCCATAAATAGATTTTAAAAACCGATGCTCAGAAAGATGAAGCGCCTTCATTGAGGTTACAACGCTCAGAAGAGGAGGGACCAGGAGTGGACACCCTATCTGCTGATACCAGCTCCCCCGAGCTGTGTAGGGCAGCTCCAAGGAACCCTGAGAGCTCCTTCTCACCCAGCCTCCATGATTTGCCATCCAGCAGGCCACCATGTCTTTGCCCCTGCCCTTTTCTCTGCCTGGTGTATCCCTTCCAACTTTGCTCCCTGGAATTTGCCCGTTGATTTTTCATGACCCAGCCTACTGTCCATTCCTCCATGACTATGACTCTCTTTTGTCCTCCCTCTGTACTCTGTCCCAAATATTTATAATCTCACAGGATCATAAATATTTCGCTATCCACTTGTCCATTTTGCTGTCTCATTTGCTAGACTGTGAACGTCTCAAGGCAGTAGTTTGTATTTTATTCAACCCTGCATCGCAACTCCCACTCCAGTGTCTGCCACTGAGCATTCAGAAGTGTCTGGGGAATTTGTGAATGGGTGGAGTGCATGTGTCTCTGACCCTAAGATTCTGGGCTGGTGGCCCGAGGCCCCAAACCCTGGCTGCAGGCCTGACAGCTGTGGAGGAGGCTGTTCCATCAGGTTCAAACTCATCCCTAAATGACTTTCCCACCCCCAGCCTTCATATTCTGCCACCCTCTGGCTTCCTTTTCTTCCTCCCTCATCCCAAGTCTTATCTGCAAATCTCAGCACTCCCAAAGGCATGTTTTAAGAGCCAAGTGGAGCCTTCCATCTGGAATGAATTAAATCACTGACAGAGTTATGTCCCCAAGTCAGCAGGAACTCCAGGAAGGCTTTGGGAAAAGACCAGACCTTTCCTCCTTACAGGAACTAACTCAGAAGAAAAATAATGTGTTGGTAAGAGTTGCCCAAAGTTGGGGGAGCCGGGAGACGGATGAATTGAGCAAATCTCTTGCTAGATGTGTGCCCCATGCAGGTTTTCAGAGTCTCTAGGCCTCTTTTCTCACCTGGATAACAGGAACTGTGCCACGTGGGGATTAAATGAGCCAAAGCTTGAGGAGGTGTTGGTAATAGTGCTACCTGAGAGTGGGTGCACAGTCTACGTGTGAGCCTTCTTTCTTCTCTTATTCTTTTTCTCTATTTTTGTTTTTACTTTTGTCATAATTATCTATGGACGTAGTTTAAAAGACAAATTATTCTTTTGCTATGACAAGAACCAGTTTCCTACCCTGTTCCCACTGTTTCTTTTTCCCCAGAGGCAATCACTCTCAACTCTTTTTACAGTAATTATTCTGGTATTTACTTTCATATTTCGAAATAACTTGTTTGTGTTGATACTTTTTGTATTTTCCATTTCAAGACTTACCAATGGACTTTCTACTGTGAAAAATAAGAGTCTGGTCTCTTTGACATACACCTCTCCTATCCTCTTTGCCACCCCTCTCTCTCTCTCTCACACACACACACACACACACACACACACACACACTTCCTGTGCTGCCCCCCATCTTCCCATTCTGATTTTGTTGTAATTTTGGTTAGAGCCATTTTCAGGATTCACATTTATTATAGTGTAAACACTATCGACAGCTGAGACATAAATTATATCACAGTTACTTTTTCTCTTCCAAACAGTATTTTCTCCTCTGGAATTAATCATTATCATTTTGTTCTATTTTTTTTAATGTTTTGTAGACTTCATTTTATCTGCCAAAACACTAATTCAGCTGTGTAAATCTCCTCTCAGTGTGTTCAGCCCTAATTGAGAATCTAGCATTTCTGTCTTTTTAGAAAAATTCCTTCTAGGCCCCTCTGACCAGCTCCTCTTTGGCTGCCTGTCTCCGGGCTCACTGCACAGTTGGCCACAGGGATCTTCTTTCGCCTTTGTTCTTTGTCTCTCTTGTGTTACATCTGTTTTCTGGATGCCAAGTCTTTCTCTTTCTTCGTTTACACCCTCATTTTGGGTGGGGCGCTTCTTCTAGTAGCTCCTGCAAGTGGGGGCTGTTGAGGCAAATACCTAAAAATATTCTTACTCTACCCTCACACTTGATTGATAATTTTGCTGGACATAGAATTTGAGTTTGAAAATAATCTGCCCTCAAAATTTTGAAGGCATTCCTGCACTGCCTCCTAGCTACTGTGTGCCTGGCAAAGTCTAATGCCCTCGCAATGACTGATTCTTTCTATGTAACCTGTTTGTATCTCTGTCATCTTTAAGCATCTTCTTCTTCCTCCAAATGTTCCAACATTTCATCATCTTGTCTCTTGTTGGGGATCTATTTTCATCAATTGTGCAGGACTCCTGCTGAGTCTTTTTGATCTGAGAATGGATGTCTTTCAGTTCTAGGAACATTTCCTGAGTCATTTTTTGATGACTGTCTTCCCCAGCATTCTCTCTGCTCTGTTTCTGGTGCTTCTATTGGTCAGATGTTGGACCTTGAACTTGTCCTTTGATTTTCTCATCTTTTCTTTCTTGATTTCAATGTCTATATTTTTTTCTCTACTTTCTGACAGAGTTTCTGAATTTCATTTTCCTTTCTAATGAATCTTTTTCTTTCTTAAATTTACACATTCTTGTTTGAAAACTTAACAGATTTTTTTTTTTTAAGACAGAGTCCTGCTCTGTCACCCAGGCTGGAATGCAGTGGCACAATCCTGGCTCACTGCAACCTCCGCATCCCGGGTTGAAGCATTCTCCTGCCTCAGCCTCCCAAGTAGCTGGGACTACAGGCGCGAGCCACCAAGCCCAGCTAATTTGTGTATTTTTAGTAGAGATGGGGTTTCACCACGTTGGCCAGGATGGTCTTGATCTCTTTACCTCCTGATCTGCCCGCCTCAGCCTCCCAAAGTGCTGGGATTACAGGCATGAGCCACCACTCCTGGCCAGCAGATCTTCTTTCCAGAGCAGTTTCAAGTTTCCAGACAAATTGAACAGAAAATCTAGAGCTCCCCCACAGCACCTCTTCCTCCACACACAACTTCCCCAATTAACATCATGCATTAGTGTGGTACGTTTGTCACACCTGATAAGCTAGTATTGCTATATTATTATTAACTAGAGCCTCTAGTTTACATAAGGGCTCAGTCTTTGTATTGTGCATTCAATGGGTTGTGACAAATATATGTCATGTATCAACCATTACATACTTCATGCAGAATATTATATTTTCAATCCCCTGAAAAAATGTGTTCTTCCTACTTATCCCTTCCTTCCTCTGACCCCCAAACTTTAGGCAGTTGAAATTATTAGCTTCTCTATAGTTTTGTCTTTTCCAGAATGCCATATTTTGGAATTATATTGTATGTAGCCTGTTCACATTGGCCTCTTTCACTTAGTAATATACATTTACGGTTCCTTCATGTTTTTTCCATAGCTTGATAATCATTTCTTTTTATCACTGAATAATATTCCATTATATGGATATACCACAGTTTGTTTATCAATTCACCTATTGGAGGATAACTCAGTTACTTCCAGTTTTTGGCAATTATGAATAAAGTTGCTGTAAACATTCGTATAAAGGTTTTTGTGTGGACATCAGTTTTCAACTCATTTGGGTAAATACCAAGGAGCTAGATCATATGGTAAGCTCATATGGTTAGCTTTGTAAGAAGCTTCCAGATTGTTCTCCAAAATGGCTATGCCATTTTCCATTCCCACCAGCAATGAATGAGAGTTCCTGTTGCCTCAGTTCTCACCAGCATTTCAGGTTGTGGTGTTTGGATTTTAGCCATTCTAATAGGTATGAAGTGATATCTCATTGCTATTTTGATTTGAAATTCCCTAATGACATATGATGCTGATTATCTTTTCACTTGCTTATTTACCATCCGTGTATCTTCTTTGAAGAGGTAACTCTTCAGGTATTTTACCAATTTTTAAATTGGGTTATTTGTTTTCTTATTATTGAGTTGTAAGAGTTTTTTGAATATTTTGAATATAAGTTCTTTATAGGATATATGTTTGCAAATATTTTCTCCCAGCCTTTGGTATGTCTTTTTATCCTCTTAATCTAGTGAGTTTTTATTCTTATTGTGTGTTTAATTTCCAAGTCTATTTTTGTTTGCTGAATATTCATTTTTACATTTCTTTTTGTTTCAGTTATGCAACAATTTCTCTCGTCTCTCTGAGGATATTAATGACAGTTTTTCTTGAAGTTTTCTTTCCCCTGAACAGCCTCTATTTCTTCCAAGTTGTTTTTCTTTCTTAATAGGAGCTTTCCTCAAATGACAGGTGATTCTTGACTGTCTTCTTATCTGAAGAAGACACCAAAATATCTTACTGGATTGTGTGTGTGTGTGTGTGTGTGTGTGTGTGTGTGCGCGCGTGCGCGCACACATGCGTTTTGGGTTGGGGGTGCTTGGTGACTGAGGGCTCCTCTCTAGGGTAATCAGGCTGAGCATTTTGTTAGGGAGGCTGCCTGTATAGTCCTTGCCCAGACCTTATAAGCCTGGCTGCTCATAGTTTGGGATTTGAGTGGGGAAACAAGACTGGAGGTCTCAACATCTAGTAAGTAAACATCTATTTATTTTTATTTTAAAAAATTTTTTAGAGACCAGGTCTTGCTCTGTTGCCTAAGCTGGAGTGCAGTAGCATGATCACAGCTCACTTCAGCCTCCAAACTCCTGGACACAAGCAATCCTCCTGCATCAGCCTTCTGAGTAGCTGATACTACAGGTGCATGCCGCCATGCCCAGCTAATTTAAAAAAAATTCTTTTTTTTTTCTGTAGAGACAGAGTCTCACTACGCTGTCTAGGCCAGTCAAAAACTCCTGGCCTCAAGCAATCCTTCCACCTTAGTCTCCCCAAATGCTGGGCAGGCATGAGCCACTGTACCTGCCCCCATTATTTTAAAATTTTTATTACTTTTTAATTGACAAAACTGTATATATTTATGGCATACAACGTGATGTTTTGATTATGCATACATTGCAAAATGGCTAAAACAAGCTAATTAACAGAGGTATTACCTACCATACTTATCATTTTTTTGTGGTGAGAACATTTGAAATCTAGTACCTTAAAAATTTTCAAGTATACCACACATTGTTATTAACCATAGTCATCATGTTATACAATAGATCTCTTGAACACACTCTTCCTAACTCAAATTTTGTATTCTATGACCAACAACTTAATCCTGCCAACCCCCAGTCCCTGGTAACCACCATTCTACCCTGCTTTTATGAGTGCTACTTTTTTAGATTCCACATGCAAGTGAGATTATGTGGTATTTGCCTTTCTGTGCTGGGCTTACACCACCTAACGTAATGCCCTCCAGGTCCATCCATGTTGTTGCAAATAGCAGGATTTCCTTCTTTTTTATGGCTGAATAGTACTCCATTGTGTATATGTACCACATTTTTTAATCCATTCATCTGTTGATGGATGCTTAGATTGCTTCCATATCTTTGCTATTGTAAATAATGCTGCAGTGATCTTGGGAGTTCAGAAATCTCTTTGACATATGATTTCATTTCTTTTGCATATATCCCGGGAAATGAGATTGCTGGATCACATGGTAGCTCTGCTGGTAATTTTCTGAGGAACCTCCATAACTGTTGCCCATAATGGCTGTAGTAGTAAGCCATTGCCCATAACGGCTGTAGTAGTAAGTAGTATTTTATTTATTTATTTATTTGAGATGGAGTTTAGCTATTGTTGCCCAGGCTAGAGTTCAGTGGCATGATCTTGGTTCACTACAACCTCTGTCTTCCAGCTTCAAGCGATTCTCGTGCCTTAGCCTCCAGAGTAGCTGGGATTACAGGCACCTGCCACCACACCTGGCTAACTTTTTTGTATTTTTAGTAGAGATGGGATTTCATCATGTCGGCTAGACTGACCTCAAACTCCTGACCTCAGGTAATCCGCCTGCCTCGGCCTCCCAAAGTACTGGGATTACAGGCATGAGTCACCTCGCCTGGCTGTAAACTTCTTTTTAATACGTATTTTTAATACTCCACACCCCTCAATGCTTGGTGTCTTTCTGTCTGTGCACTCCAATGTTATCCTTTCTAGATAATGAGCCTCTAGATTTGGCTGAGGTGGAGTGCAGATTGTTCCTCATCTGTGTGGTGAGGTGAACAGATCTGGGGTTTACCTACTTCTTAGATTTTTTAGACTTTTGGGGACATAATATATTAAGTTTATTCCAAGGGGGAATTTTCACCTTCCCTCGGTGTTTTAATATTCTACAAGAATGACATCTAATGTCTTTTCAGTTTATTTGTGGACTTAAGTTTTAAAATTAGAAGTAGGGATACTATATACATATGTACTTACTCTAATTTCTAATAATCTATTTTCAAAAAATATAATGGAATTATTTTTATGTCATCCTAAGATAAAATTTACTAAAATTTATTCTTTCTGGTCATCTATTCATCCAGAGATCTAGGTTTATTACCCTCAATCTGTATTTACAAGGAATAAATTTGAGCACAACACTCGTACCAGGAATTTTTTTTTTTTTTTGAGATGGAGTCTCGCTCTGTTGCCCAGGCTGCAGTGGAGTGGCATGAACTTGGCTCACTGCAACCTCTGCCTCCTAGGTTCAAGTGATTCTCCTGTCTCAGCCTCCTGAGTAGCTGGGACTACAGGCACCCACCACCATGCCCAGCTAATTTTTGCATTTTTAGTAAAGACGGGGTTTCACCATGTTGGCCAGGCTGGTCTTGAACTCCTGAACTTGTGATCCACCTGCCTTGGCCTCCCAAAGTGCTGGGATTACAGGCATGAGCCACTGCCCCTGGCCCAGAAAACACTTCTATATATTTTAGTGAAGTAGATTGTTCAGGGCATTCTGGGTTTTAGCTAGCATTATTTAGTATTTGTTGTTTCTATTGATTTTTTGAAAATAAACTTTTTATTTAGCAGTCATGTCTCCTTAGCCTCCTCTTGGCTGTGACAGTTTCCCACACCTTCCTTGCTTTTGATGACTTTGACTATTTTAAGGAGTGTTGGTTAGGTATTTTGTAGAATGTCCTTCAATTGGGATTTGTCTGATGTATTTCTTGCGGTTAGACCAGGCTTGTGTGTTCTTGAGAGAAAGACCATAGAGATGCATTATATCAAGCTTACATACTATCAACATGACGTATCACTGATGTGCAACTTTGCTCAACTGGCCGAGATCGTGTTTGTCAGGTTTATCCTCTGTAAAGTCATTCTTTCTACCCCACACTCCACCGCTTTCCACACTGTATTCATCACAAGGAAGTCACTATGCGCAGCTCACGTTTAAGGACTGGGGAGCTATGTTCTACATCCTTGAGGGAAGAGTATTTCCACAAATTATTTGAGATTTTTCTGAACAGGAGATTTGACTTTTCTCCCCTGTTTATTTATTAAATCATTATTTATATCAGTATGAGCTCACAGGTATTTATTTTGTACTTTGGGTTATAATCCAATACTACTTTATTTACTTGCTCAAATTGTTCCAGCTTTGGCTATTAGGAGTTCTTTCAGTATGGCAGTTTGACACATACCCATTATTGTGGGTGCATTGTGTGTGTGTGTGTGTGTGTGTGTGTGTGTGTGTGTATGTATGTATGTTGTTGTTGTTGTTGTTTAACTGAGCACTTATTTACTTTCTGGTACTACAAGGTCATAAAAACATAAAAGTTTCTATATGTAACCATTGACATGGTATCTGTATTAAGCTAAGCATGAGTTCGTATGGTTCACTCCCACTCTAAACCATTAATAAATGGATCATTCTAGCCTCTTCCCCTTGCTGATCTGTAACCTCCCACTCCAACAGTGAGAAACCAGGCTCCAGCCACTTGCCTAATTGTTCAGTTCTGGTATACATACAGAGCAGTATCAAAATTGTTAGCCTGTGTTCCATGGGAAATAACTAGATTATAACTACAGTACAGTAATTATGTTCAGTTTTTTTCCTTTAGTGTACAGATTCCACTCATTTCCAAAATTACTTGGGTCAGCACCTTTTCCCCTCATCACCTTCAGTCAGCTTGGTTCCTGCATTTGTAACACAGTTAAATTGTTTTGTCACATTCTTCATTCCACTCTGGGATCTGCTGACCTCCTAAATAATTTTTTTCAATTTTGCATAAATTGAGGTTCATTCTTTGTGCTGTAAAGTCTTATAGATTTTGACAACTGCACCATTACAGTATCATACAAAATAGTTTCACAGCCCTAAAAATACCCTGTGCTTTACTCAACCCTTCCCCACTCACTGACAATCACTGATCTTTTTACTTTCTCTATAGTTTCATCTTTTCTAGAATATCCTACATTTGGGATCAAATAGTGTACAGTCTTTTCAAAATTGGTTCTTTCACTTAGCAATATACATTTAAGATTCACTCATGTGTGTTCAAACTTGATAGCTCATTTATTTTTGACAATGAATAATATTTGATTGTATGAGTATGCCACAGTTTATCCATTTACCTATTCAAGGACATCTTGGATGCATCTAGTTTGGAGTGATTAGGAATAAAGCAGCTGTAAACATTTGCATGCAGGTTTTTGTGAGGGCATATGTTTGCAAATCAGTTGGGTAATAAAACAGACTTTTGACCAATGATTTTATTTTTTTTGGATCCACCATCTTCAGCCCACTTCCAGAGGAAAGGGATACTGCCTGTTCCCGAGCTTTTTGGAGGTTCTGCAATATAAATGAACTTGCTGCATGGCTTTTCACCTGCCCAATTATGATTCAGCTTTCTTTGGTCTACTGAGTCAGTTACACTCTTTTGTCATCGTTCTAGGCTGAAAAATTATGTTGCATAACTCCCTTTTCTAGTCTCACTGTTGTGTGGGTTTATACCTTTTCTTGTCCCTTTTTCTGTCATTTTAGTGGGATGGAGTAAAAAGCTAATGCCAGTGCTCAATCCACCAATTTCAACTGGAGGTATCCGCCTTTCCTTTCATAGAGGTTCAGACTTGAGCTCCCTCAGGTTGAGGTTGGTAGAGCCCGCATCAGTAAAGTCACGGCAACTGTGACTCCAAATCTCTCTCCCTGCACCTGTCCCAGTAAAGCTAGGTTCCAACCCTCTCCCCTTAGGGCTTTGAAGGCCCTAACCTATTGAGAAGGGAGAGGAATTGGCTCAACATTCTGAAATGGAGGCCCCAGAGTATGGTGGTGTCTGGATATGGCTCAGCCTGGAGAAAAGACACTGATGGGGGGACACGGAAAAGGGGCAAAGTTGGCAGGAACCCCAAGAATACACTTGAAACTAAATACTTCTCCAGTCCCTGCTTGTCACCTCCACCCTCATTTCCTAACAAATAGTGCCTCGCAGCAGACCTTCTGGAGGAAACAACAGAGGTGATAAAGATTAGGGTTAGATAGAGTCCATAAAGAAATGACTCATCATTAAATGGAATCCTCTCCCTCTGCCCACCCCTCACAGCCTCGGCCTTTAACTTTTCTCTCTGTTCACTCTCCTAGGCACCTTCTCCCTGGGTAGTTTCATCCGCTCAGCGCCCTCGCTTACAGCCTGTATCCTAAGGACACTCTAGGTGCTACCTGCAGCCGAGTGCCCTGCCTGAACTTTAGCTGAGTGGAGATGGCTTGCCCTGGCTGTACCACCTGCCTCCTGTGACACTCCTTCCCTCTTCAGATCACACCCCTTCTGATTGGGGCTTCTGAAAAAGTCCTCAAAGTTTCTGGCTGGCTTATGGATCTTTTTATTTCTGAAAACTGCTATGTATTTATATGGTAGCTTTTCAATATCTGCTGTAGTTTCGAAGGCCATGCTATGAAGATTGAACCTCTATGTCTCATTGCTATGGTAACAGCAGTAAAAGTGATAGTGCTTTGTGATCTCTTTATTTGGTTGTTACAGCACATCAGGAGCTAGCGTCAAAATAAAATCATGATTATTATAAAGGAAACCTCAAAATTATATCTGCTTTTGAAAATGTGTTAAGAGGTTTAGTTTATGAAATGTATGAAGGAATTAAGTTCAGACTTGAAAATTCATACCTTTATGATACTACAGTATAATTTAAAATTGCCAAGAAAAGAGTTATTTCTTTTTCATAAACTGAACTCTAATTAATTAATTTATTTATTTATTGTTTTTTAAAAATAGGATCTCACTCTGTTGCCCAGGCTGGAGTGCAGTGGTGTAATCATAGCTCACTACAGCCTCAACCTCCCTGGCTCAAGCAACCCACCTGCCTCAGCCTCCCAAGTAGCTGGGACTACAGGAATGCACCACCACAGACAGCTAATTTTTAAAGTTTTTTTAGAGATGAGTTCTCACTATGTTGCCCAGGTTCTTCTCAAACTCCTAACTCCCAGTGATCTTCCCACCTTGACCCCTTCAGAGTGCTGGGATTACAGGGCTGAGCCACCACATCTGGCCCCAGAACTCTTGTTAATGTCTTCTTTTTTTCCCCTTTTAAATTTAGGATTGAATTAAATTTATTCATTTATGACTTCTTCTTAAAATAAGACATGCCCCAATACCTTCTACTAGCTGGATATTTTTTCTATTTAAAGTCCTTTAATTATTTTCTTCAAAATTATTTCTAACCCCTTAGTCTCTCTCTCTCTCTCTCTCTCTCTCTCTCTCTCTTTTTTAAAGAGTCTCACTCTGTTGCCCAGGCTGAAGTGCAGTGCTGCGATCTTGGCTCACTGCAACCTCTGCCTCCTGGGTTCAAGCAATTCTCATGCCTCAGTCTCCCAAGTAGCTGGGATTACAGGTACGTGCCACCACACCCTGCTATTTTTTTATTTTTTAGTAGAGGCAGGGTTTCACCATGTTGGCAAGGCTGGTCTTGAACTCCTGGCCTCAAGTGATCCACCTGCCTCGGCCTCCCAGAGTGCTAGGATGTCAGGCATGAGCCACCGCACCCGGCCTAACCACTTAGTCTCTTAAAACTACTTCATGATCTGGACCTTGGAGCTGGCCTCTGCTGCATTCCCTGCCCCGGTCTGGTGGCACTGCTTGTAGTTCCCTAGTTGTTCCATGCTTTAGTCTGGAATGTCCTGCCTCTCTTCTTTGCTAGGTTCACCTCCACACATAGTTGAGTGTCTCTTTGCAAGGCTTTGCCTGACCCTGACGGCCCACTGAGACCTTGACATCCTTCCTGTGGGCTCTTGTAGCAGCAGGACCCAGTGGTGGTGTCTGTTGTAATACTTGCTTCCTTATATTGTAAAAGTCTGTCTCTGTATGTCTCCCCTATGAATAACTCAAGAGATTGTAGAAAATAAAAAAAATAACTATCTTTGCTGCAATTTTTTTAGGTTTTGGGGGGTAGACAAGAAGGCTGTGTGACTTGAAATTGGAAGAGCTGTAATTTCTTCCCCTTTTCTGCAGTTCATTTTTGAAGGGCCTCGTGGTATTTTGTCAGCCCCTAAACCACCTTCAGATGAGTGAAAATCCCTTCTTTGGGGAAGGATGATTCCCAGTGCCTCACCAGAGCACGGTTTAGGGTCTTACAGCCCCTCGGAAGTTTCTCTTAGTGTTTATTTCAACCTTCGATCTTCCTCCTACATTGTTGGCTCTTCTCTCCCAGGGGTCAACAGCAGCCTCGCAACTCTCTGGTTTCCTCTTTGAAAAATACATTGGAGGATTTGTTCCCATGGGAACAATGGGGTAAAAACCTGGTTCCAAGGATGACTCCATAGTTATGTAACCGATTACCCGGGGATTATGCAATGTTCTCACTGTCCCCAGACCTGCACCAGTAAACTTTTACCACCTACAGGACAGAATCCAAATGTCTTGTCCTATAATTCACGTCATCCAGCATCTGTGACATTAACCTTGTCTCAGGCTCCAAAGAGTCAGCAGCTGTCAGGAGTGTGGGATCTGCAGCTGGACCACCTGGTTCTCATCTGACTCTGCCATATACTTTCTGTGAGATCTTGGGCAAGTTACTTAACCTGTCTGTGCCTCAGTTTCCTTCTGTGTAAAGGGATAAATGATTGGTAATAGTAGTATGTGCCTCAAAGAGTCTTTAGGAAGACTAAAAGAATTATAAGTGGAAAAGACTCAGAACAGTGCCTGGTGCTTGAAAAGTGCTCAGTAGATGTTAGCCACTAACCCTACCTCCCTCACATCCCAAGACAGACCCTCCTTCCAGTCAGACCCGACCACTCCCCTCCCCAACTCTAAACTTCTGTTAGCTAAATAGATTGTCAAGGGGCTGGGTACAGTGACTCACGCCTATAATCCCAGAACTTTGAGAGGCCGAGGCAGGTGGATCACAAGGTCAGGAGTTGGAAACCATTCTGATCAACATGGTGAAATCCCGTCTGTACTAAAAATACAAAAATTAGCCTGGCATGGTGGTGCGCGCCTGTAATCCCAGTTACTCAGAAGGCTGAGGCAGGAGAATTGCTTGAACCCGGGAGGTGGAGGTTGCAGTGAGCCGAGATCCTGCCACTACACTCCAGCCTGGGCGACACAGTGAGACTCTGTCTTAAAAAAAAAAAATCGTCAAGTGCACAGAGGAAATCTTCCTGTTACTGCTCCTTTCCCTCTTTCCTCCTTCTTTTCCTTTTTCTATTATCAAGAAGAGCTACCATTTATTGAACACTTGCTACGTGCTAGCTACTTTTCAAAAGTGATTTTCAAAATCTTCACAATAACCCTGAAAGACTGGAAACATTGCTCCTGTTTTATAAATAAGACAGAAGTAATGTGTCAAATCACTTAACTGCTAAGTGGCAGAACTGAGAGTTGAACTGTGTCCCTCCTGCCTGACTGTGCCTTCTTCAGCCAGCTGTCACTCCTTCTCCCTTGTTTTTTTTTTTTCTTTTCTTGAGATAGGGTCTCACTCTGTTGCCCAGGCTGGAGTGCAATGGTACAATCACAGCTCGTTGCAGCCTTGACCTCCCAGGCTCAATTGCTCCTCCCACCTCAGCCTCCCTAGTAGCTGGGACTACAGGCATGCGCCACCATGCCCAGCTAATTTTTGCATGTTTTATAGACATGGGGTTTCGCCATGTTGCCCAGGCTGGTCTCAGACACTTGTACTCAAGCAATCCTCCCATCTCGGCCTCTCAAAGTGCTGGGATTACAGGTGTGAGCCACCATGCCTGGCCTCTCCTTGTCTTATCATCAAACATTTACTGTTCACTACACCAGGCTGCAAGGTTATGGTTAGGCCACTCCGTGTTATGAATTATATCGCTTACAATGCTTTTGTTTCCAAGTAATAGAAAACTCAATGCAACTCAAGCTGGCTTAACTAGAAAGGAAATTCATTGTTCACAATAATGTAACAGCTGGAGCACAGGCAGACTTCAAGGAAGGGTGGGCCCAAGGGTTTCTCGATGTCCCAAGGAGCCACTTTTCATGTTCTTTCAGCTCTGCCTTCTTCCGTGGTCCTGATCCCATCCTAAGGCTCGCTCCTATTACAGCTTAGGGCAGCCATCAGCACCAGTTCATGTGTCTCACATTAGAGTCTCCCCAGATCCTGAGACAAGGATATGAGGATAAGGAGTTTATTTGGAAACTAATTCCAAATAAACACCAGTTATTCAGAAACACCAGTAGGAACATGAGAAACTGATACAGGGAAGGAAAACAGCCCATAAAGGGCTATCTGGAAAATTACCTCTGGAAAACTAGAGTACAATCTTACTGAGGAATTTCAGGGACCAACATAAAACCATGTGTCAGAGCTGTCCCACTAAGTATGCATGGCACTTTGGGCCTGCCTTGGAGCAGGTGGAGTGGGCTCCAGCAGCCAGTGGGAAAAAAAAGCAAAAGCCAGGCCAGGTGCCTTGGCTCATCCTTGTAGTCCCAGCACTTTGGGAAGCTGAGGTGGGAGGGTCACTTGAGCTTAGGAGTTCGAGATCAGCCTGGGCAACATGGCAAAATCCCATCTCCACAAAAAAAATACAAAAATTAGCCAGGCGTGGTGGTGCACACCTGTAGTCAGCTACTCAAGAGGCTGAGGTGAGAGGATGACCTGAGCCTGGGAGGTCAAGGCTGCAGTGAGCCATCATCACACCACTGCACTCCAGCCTGGGTGATAGAGGCCCTGTCTCAAAAAAGAAAAAAAAAAGGCCGGGCGCGGTGGCTCACGCCTGTAATCCCAGCACTTTGGGAGGCCAAGGCAGGCAGATCACGAGGTCAGGAGATCGAGACCATCCTGGCTAACACGGTGAAACCCCGTCTCTACTAAAAATATAAAAAATTAGCCGGGCGTGGTGGCGGGCACCTGTAGTCCCAGATACTCGGGGAGGCTGAGGCAGGAGAATGGCGTGAACCCGGGGAGCAGAGCCTGCAGTGAGCTGAGATCGCGCCACTGCACTCCAGCCTGGGCGACAGAGCAAGACTCCGTCTCAAAATAAAATAAAATAAAATAAAAAGCAAAAGCTGGTAATACGAGATAGGAGAATATGAGCAAGGGCACGAGCGCATCTGTCGCACCAGGGCATGTGCTTCCTCCGTCAGGCCAAAGACAGGGGACACTCCCTCCCACCATCATCACACACAAGTCCTGGGCCTTGCTCTGCTTCACCCTGCTGAGCTCCATGCCTCCACCGGAGCCAAAACCTGTGTCCCAGCGAATACTCTCTCTGGACTGCCTTGGTCTTCAGGTACTGCCCACCCAGCAGCCACTGTGGCAAGAGATGTGGCTATGCTGACTGACTGAGGCAAACTAGGGCCTCCTCTAGTGCTGGGGGCGGGACAAGCCCCCCACCCCTCCCCACCTAGAACTGCATGGCAGCAGTTCCTGAACATTGGGAGGGTAGGAAGGACACTGAGAAGCCAGAAGCCATGTTCATCACATAATTTGTTTCCCTAAACCAAAAGGTGATAGTGGAGTGGAAATAAAGCTTGCAAGAGGAAGAGTATAGAAACCTGAAAAATCAGGGCTGGAAGAGGACTTCATTTTCTTTTTATTTTATTTTTTGGAGATAGGGTCTTGCTCTGTTGCCCAGGCTGGTGTGCAGTGACATGATCATAGCTCACAGCAGCTTCAACTTCCCTCGCTCAAGAGATCCTCCTACCTCAGCCTCCTGAGTAGCTGGGACTACAGACACACACCACCACACCCGGCTAATTTTTAATTATTTTGTAGAACATTTCAAAACTTTCTATGCTGCCCAGCTGGTATCGAACTCCTGAGCTCAAGCGATCCTCTGGCCTTTGCCTCCCAAAGTGCTGGGATTATAGGTGTGAGCCACTGGGCCCTGCCTGGGAGAGGACTTTGAAAGTCTCATAGTTTAATTCACTTGTGTTGCTGTGATTCCTTCCTCATCTGTCTTCCACGGTGACATTCAGTCTCAGCTTGTATACCTCAGACCAAGGGGAGCTCACTCCTCCAGAGTAACCCACATTCATTCTAGAGACGTCTATAACCCCTGGAAGTCTCTCTTCATATTGAGTCGGAACATTCCTTCCTGTGTCTTCTCCCATGGGCCCAGCCCTCCCCTCTGGGATATCCAGGACACATCTGCTTCATCTGTCCTAAATCTGAGTCCAACAGGAATGTGTAAACAGTGATTGCATTTCCCAAAGACTTCTCTGGAACAAACTGACCACTCACAGGCCTGTCACCTCAAAGATGGTGGTCACAGAAGGGCCCCAACATCTGGAGTGGGGAGCTGGGGAGGCCCTTGAGGAAGCCATCTTGAAGCTGGAGGGCATCCGATGAGCATCTTCCCTGGAAGCATTGGTTGGTCTCCAGGTCAGTCACAGTTTACTGCTTAGAAACAAATGGCCTCAGTCACAGGGAGGAGCCCCAGGCCCCTCACGCATGTGTTTATTGGAAGGATATGATCTCCCACACATAGAAACACTGCCTCCTCCCACCTCATCAGTTCCCACAGAGCTCTGCAGTGCCTAGGGAAGGCCACGTGCCCTGCAGCTTTAGTTCCTGAGGTCTAGGCTGCTCCCATCTGGCCACACACATCCAGTCCCCCTCATCTAGTCCCAGGCCTGATCCCCCACCACCTAAGAGGTCTGCAAAGGGTGGGGCAGTACACCATGATAGAAGGGGTCTGGGCTGGAGTCTGAGCCCTCCAGGGATCCTGCTCTGCTCAGATAAGTATGCCTTTCAGAGCCTCAGTTTCCCTTATCTGAAAAACAGTGAAAGGAACTCATTTGAGGAGGTGCTCGGGGAATGGGAAGTACCGAGCACATGGTAGCTTCCTAACAGGCTTGTGTATTACGGTATCTTATTGATGAGGTCTTCCCTTCACCTTCCCTGATTTTCAGAATCCATTGAGGGGGTTTCAAATCCCATGTTCTAGCAATCCTGCAATTTGATGGCAAATAGTAACGTTCCTACCATGGAAACACTCTGGAAATCCTGCCTTCCTCCAAGAAGGCCTCACATGTTGATCAGACAGGCTGGTGGTCCTATGCTCTCCTCAACCCCTCTCCCCAGCTTTTATAGATCTTGTAGTAGATGACTGTAGTTGTGCCTTCCCCTCCCCTTCTTGGGAACTGTTCCACCCCATGCACACGCCTATAGAGGGGGCCCTAGCAGTATTATCACCCTTCCTCTGGGGCTTCTTTGACCTCAGGACAAGCTGGATTAGGCAGAGTTCTTCCCTCAGATTCACTGGGTTGGAAGTGGAAGAATCCCAATCCTTCCTTCTCCAGGGTGTGCAGGTCTGGAGCTGCTGCCAGTGTGCAGTGCAGGGAGAGAGCTGAGAGGGAGGGAAACAGAGAGAAGAGACACAGCATATTTGAGTTCCTGGTTTCTGTGTTCTTCAGCCCTGTCTGTCTCCTGCTTAGTGACACAAACCATCCTTAGGATCCAAGAGGAGCAGCCCATTTCCAGCCTCTTCTGAGGTCCAGCTGATCGGACTTTGAGTGGACGTTTGACCACGGAGAATTAATCCAGAAGCCAGGCAGGTCCACTATCTCCTAGAGCTGGAACATAGAGTGCCAGGGTCGGGTGTTTCCAGGGCTCCACTGGTGAGCCACCGATAAGCAGACAGAACCTTCAGACTGGTCATGAGGATTCTTACATAACAGAGAAAAACAGAAGTCCCTGGAGCCTGAGGAGGTTGGGGCAGAGAAAGGAAGGAGGCTGGGAGAGGGGCTGCCTGGGCTCCGGCCAGCTTCCCCCTTTGTGTCTTCACTGCCTTGAAAGTCCTGCCCTGGCTGCCCTCAGGTACCATCAGATATTTCTGCATCTATCTGGCAAATCTTCCCTTTTGCTCAAGCTACTTTGCCAGGGCTCTTGTTCCAGGTCCCTGGCTATCCTGTCCTTCAACATGGAGGCAACAGAGTCTGTGATCCCCCATAGGGGGCGCTGGAGAACAAGTTCTCACAATTGACCAAGGAGTTTACAGCCTTTTTTTTTTTTTTTTTTTGAAACAGAGTCTTGCTCTGTCGACTGGACTGGAGTGCAGTGGCTGCAACCTCCGCCTCCCGGTTCAAGCGATTCTCCTGCCTCAGCCTCCTGAGTACCTGGGATTACAGGTACACACTACCACTCCAGGCTAATTTTTGTACTTTTTAGTAGAGACGGGGTTTCACCATGTTAGCCAGACTGGTCTTGAACTCCTGACCTCAGGTGATCCGCCTGCCTCGGCCTCCCAAAGTGCTGGGATTACAGGCGTGAGCCACCATGCCCAGCCTACAGCCTTCTTTTGTTCAATTGAGATATGATTCACATAACATATCACTCACCTTTTTAAAATACAACATTTAGTGTTTTCTAGTGTATTCACAGAGTTGTGCAACCGTTACCACTATCTAATTCCAGGACATTTTCATCACCCCGAAATGAAACCCCATACTCTCTAGTGGTCACTTGCCATTATCCCTCCACCCTCCCCAGCCCCTGGCATCCAACAAGCTGCTTTCTGTGTCTACAGATTTGCCTATTCTGGACATTCATATAAATAGAATCATACAAAATTTGACCTTTTAAGTATGGCCGTTTTCACTTACCATAACGTTTTCAAAGTTTATTTATGTTGTAGCATGCATCAGCACTTTACTTTTTGTAATGGCTGAATAATGTTCACATTTTTTTGTACCCATTCATCCATTGATGGATATCTGGGTGATTTCCACTTTTTGTCTATTGCGAGTAGTGCTTCTATGAGCATTTGTGTACAACTATTTAAGTACCTGTTTGTTTTCAATCCTTTTGGGTATAGACTTAGAAGTGGGATTGCTGAGTCATGTGGCAATTCTCTGTTTAACTCGTTGAGGAGCCACCAAACTGTGTTCTTTTTTAAAATTTTTTTTAATTTTTTTTTTTTTTTTGAGACAAGACTCTCCCTATGTCACCCAGGGTGAAGTGCAGTGGCACAATCTCGGCTCACTGTAGTTTCCGCCTCCAGGGTTCAAGTGTTTCTCTTGCCTCAGCCTCCTGAGTAGCTGGGATTACAGGCGCTTGTCACCACGTCTGGCTATTTTTTGTATCTTTTAGTGGAAATGGGGTCTCACCATGTTGGCCAGGCTGGTCTCGAATTCCTGACCTCAAGCGATCTGCCTTCCTTGGCCTGCCAAGGTGCTGGGATTACAGGCGTGAGCCACTGCTCCCAGCCCCAAACTGTTTTCTATAGTGGCTGCACCATTTTACATTTCTACCATCAATGTTTGAGGGTTCCAATTTCTCCACATCTTTGCCTATCCCAGTGGGTACGAAGTGGTATCTCACAGAGGTTTTGATTTGCATTTCCCAAATGACTAATGATATTGAGCATTTTCTCATGCACCTATTGGCCATTTGTATGTCTTCTTTAAAGAAATATTTGTTTTCCCATTTTAAAAATTGGGTTATTTGATTTGTTTTCATTTGTTTTAATTTTTTAATTTAATTTTTTTTTTTTTTTTTTTTTTTTTTTTTTTTTTTTTGAGACGGAGTTTTGCTCTGTCGCCCAGGCTGGAGTGCAGTGGCGCGATCTCGACTCACTGCAAGCTCCGCCTCCCGGGTTCACGCCATTCTCCTGCCTCAGCCTCCCGTGTAGCTGGGACTACAGGCGCGCGCCACCATGCCCGGCTAATTTTTGTATTTTTAGTAGAGACGGGGTTTCACCATGTTAGCCAGGATGGTCTCGATCTCCTGACCTCGTGATCCGCCCGTCTCAGCCTCCCAAAGTGCTGGGATTACAGGCGTGAGCCACCACGCCCGGCCTTAATTTAATTTTTATTTATTTATTTATTTATTTATTTTGAGACTGAGTATGAGGTTGGCTAATTTTTGCATTTTTGGTAAAGATGGGGTTTCATCATGTTGCCCAGACTAGTCTCAAACTCCTGGGCTCAAGCCTTGGCCTCCCAAAGTGGTGGGATTACAGGCATGAGCCACCGTGCCTGGCCTTCTTTGTTTTTGACAGAGGGTTTCCTCTGTCACCCAGGGTGGAATCCAGTAGCCCGATCATGGCTCACTGCTGCCTTGACTTCCCAGGCTCAAGTGATCCTCCCAGCTCAGCCTCCCAAGTAGCTGAGACCACAGGTGCCCATCACCATGTCCAGATACTTTAAAAAAAATTGTTTTTTGTAGAGAAAGGGTCTCCCTATGTTGTTCCGGCTCATCTAGAACCCCTGGGCTCAAGCAATCCTCTAGCCTTGGCCTCCCAAAAGTACTGGGATTACAGACATGAGCCACGACATCCAGCCTTTTTTTTTTTTAATCAATGAGTTGTAATAGTTTTTTTTTTTTTTATGTATTGTGGCTACAGGTCCCTTCTCAGATATATGATTTGCAAATATTTTCTCCCATTCTGTGGGTTGCCCTTTCACCTCTTTGATAGTATCCTTTGAAGCACAAATATTTTATTTTAATTATTCTATTTATCTACTTTGTTGTCATTGCTTGAGTTTTTGGTGTCATATCTAAGATATATGTCTTTTTCCTTAAGTTCACATTCTTTCCATCTGTTGAGTTCTGGATTCTGCCTGATGTTTGCAAATGTCTTTTCTACCACTTGCATTTTGAACAAGCCTATCCGTCTCAGACTACAAATTTCCCCAGGGACAATGATCAACTCTGAAAAAAAAACTAAGCCCACACTGTGCAATTAATCGGAACTTTTAATGATGAACACAATAATGACCCAGTGGTCACTAAGTCCTCCCTTGGGTGTAACCTCATCTTGCAAAATAAATCCATTCTCTCTTCACAGGTTCTGAGGTGAACTTTGATGTGAAGGCCCCAGAGGATGGTAAGACCCTAGCACAATGGAGGGAGTCAAGAGTGGCCGCCCTGCTTGCAGCAAGACCATCAGTAGCAGGGCAGTCCACTAAGCCTGGCTTCCCATCAAGCAAGAGTGGCACTTTGTCCTAGGGCAATGGTGGTGGCTGGGAGCTGGCACTGCCTCTCTCACTCCATGGGAGAAAATGTACAGTCCCTAGGCAGGATCAAGTCCCTGTCACTATCAGGTCAGGCTGAGATAGTAACACAGGCAGGGCAGGCAGAAAACAGAGAACTGGGGAAGGCAGCTGCTCTGCTGCTGGTCTCCAGGGACACTCTGTGGGCTGTAGTGCTTTCTGGTCAGCCGACTTGGAGCTGACCGCTGTGGGAAGCTTGTCTCTGGGGATCTTCCCAGGCCAAACCAGGGCAAGCCAACCCCGAACCAAGCACATCTTCTGCCAGGAGACAGGGACCACAGCTGACCGGCCTCAGATTCCAGGCTGCCCACACCCATGGGCTTTGGCTGAACCCACAGGCACATTCAGACGGGTCATAGCTGTGAGAGCTCCCGCTGTGAGCCTGTACCCTGCTCCACAATACCCTCTGCCCTGGACCTCAGCACCAGGCCTGGCACACTCTGGGTGTCTGGGTTGGTAACTCCACAGTCCAACGTCCCTGCTAACTTCCTAGGCCATGGAAAGACTGTGGGCTTTGCATGCTGGATTACCATTTAATCCAGGTGTGAATTGGGGCAAGTCACTTACCACCTGTGAATGTCTGTCTCACATCTGGCAAAATGAGGTGTCTGGTGTCATAGGGTGGCTGTGAGAACAAATGAGGTAAGGGATATGCATTAGTCAGAGAAATGGAGCCAATAGAATATACTGATGTGGATATGTAAGAGGGGATTTGTGATGAGAATTGGCTCACGTGATTATGAAAGCCAAGAAGCCCCACGCTGTGCCACTGCAAGCTGGAGAACCAGGGAAGCTGACAGTATAACTCTCAGTCTGAGGCTGGAGGCCTGCGAATCTGTAGGAGGTACTGGTTTAAGTCCTGAGCCTGAAGGCCCCAGAACCTGGAGCTCCAATGTCTGAGGGAAGAGGAAGATAGATGTCCCAGCTGCAGAAGAGAGAGTGAATTCCCCTTTACTCCACCTTTTTGTTCTATTGGGCTCTCAGTGGATTAGATGATGTTCACATGGGTGTGGACGATCTTCCTAACTCAGTCTACTGATTCCAATGCTAATCTCTTCCAGAAACACCCCCGAGGACATGCAGAAATAATGTTTTACCAGCTATCTGGGCATCCCTTAACCCAGCCAAGTTGATGCCTAAAATTAACCATCACAGTGTATAAGGGTCTAATGTAATACAGAACTGACAAAATGGGCTGATAAATGGAAAATGTTGTCATCCTTAACCACAGAACCAATTTTCAGTCCTGATCTTCCTTTACCTGATGTCTTTCTGAATCTCTTCTTTAATCTCCTAAATTGGCATCTGTCAGCCCAGATCTTTCTCCTGAAGATTTGACTACCCAAATGGTCCCATACACATGAACCAGAAGTCTCAAGACATCTCAAACTCAGCACACCCATACTGAACTCCTCATTTCCCCATGAAAACTTGCGTGTCTTCCCACATTTGCAGTCTCAGTACAGCCCCATCATCCAGCCAATGACCCAAGCCAGAAAACTGGATGTCATCCTAGAGCTTTGCTCTCCTGAATTCCCCATATCCATTCAATCATCAGACCCTCTTAAACATCTCCTGATTCTGCCCTCCCCTCTCTGCTCCTGTGGCTCATCCACAGCACAGGCCCCCATCAGAGCTCCTTGTATCTCTTGTGCCAACTCCAGTCACAGTTTTGCCTCCCTCACTCCTCCCAAACTGCTTTCTTCAAGGTCCCTTGTGATATCCATGATGCTGAATCCAAGAGTCTATTCCTGGTCCTCATCTTTCCTAACCCTTCAACAGCATTTGTCACAGTGGATGGCTCCCTCCTCCTGAGATACCTTCATCTCTTAGTCTCCAGGACACTTCCTTTGCCTGGTCTCTCTCAAAGTCCTCAATCTGTTTCTTCTCAGGCTCTTTTGCTGGTTCACCCTTATCTCTCTAAGTCCTAAATACTGGCGTTCACTACTACTCAGTTCTTAACGTGTATTTTCTACCTATGCTCACTCCACGAGTAATCTCATCCTGTCCCAGGGATTTAAAGACCATCTATCTGTTAATGACTCCTAGCTCTAGCCCAGAACTCTCTCTTGAATTTTTGTATCTAATTGCCTACTTGATATCTCAGTTAGGATGTCTAACAGTATCTCAAAGGAGCCGTATCCAAGACTGAACGCCTAATCTTCCCTACAGACTTGCTCTCTGGCAGTCCATCTTCCCCACTTCAGTTAATGACAAGTCTATTCTTCCAGATGCTTAGCTTTAAAAAACATTGGTGTTATCTCTCATGCGCTATGAGAAATCTGTCAGGAAATCCTGTCAGCTCTACTTCTAGAACATATCCCGAATCCAACCATTTCTCACCACCTCACCAGCTACCTAGCTGTTTTCAGGCACCATCATCTCTTGCCTGGACTACCACAGTAGCTTCCAAAAGTATCCATACTTTCACACTCACTTGCTTCTAGTGTAAGTCAGATCCTGTCACTCTACTCTGAATCCTCCAATGCCTCCCCCTCTCCCTCTCCCTCTCAATAAAAGCCATGATCTTTACAGTGACCCAAAAGGCTCTACATGTGCCCCCATTTCCTCTCTAAATCTTGTCACCTTCTACTCTCCCACAGATCACACTTAACAGCATATATTTTGAACTCAGAAGCTGTTAATTATAGAAATGTGCATTATCGGTCTCAACATCATTCTTCCTTTCCTATTAGAATAAGAACCCTGGTTGTTAGATGGATATATTTGACCTGGAACAAAAGTCTACATCTCCCATATTCCCTTGCAATTAGGTATGGCCATGTGACTATGTTCTGGCCTCCAAGCTATCCTAGACATAATGGCTGGAGCTCCAACGCCATCTTGGACCATGAAGTGACATTAAGGACAAACTAGTGCATACGATATGGAGCAGAAAGCTTGGAACTTAGGGCCGGGCATGGTGGCTCACACCTGTAATCCCCCAGCGCTTTACATGGCTGAGGCAGGTGGATTTCTTGAGCCAGGAGTTTCAGACCAGCCTGAGCAACATGGCAAAACCCATCTCTATCAATAGTACTAAAAATTAGTCAGACATAGCTGTCAGACATGTTGGTCAGACAAATGCCTGTTGTCCCAGCTACTCAGGAGGCTGAGGTGGGAGAATCACCTGAGCCCAGGAAGTCCAGGCTTGTGAGCCGTGATTATGCTACTGCAATCCAGCCTGGGTGACAGAGTGAGAAAGAGAGAGAGAGAGAAAGAAAGAGAGAGGAAGAAAGAAAGAGAGAGAAAGAGAAATAAGAGAAAGAAAGAAGAGAAAGAAGAGAAGCTTAGAAATAGGGCCCCTGATGACACATGGAACTTTCACACTGGCACTAGAGGCCTATTTCCAGGTTGTTTTTATATTAGAAAAAAACTTCTGTATTGTTTAAGATATAATGAGTTTGAGGTTTTCTCCGATATGCAAATGGACCTATTTATAATTGATAGGGGAGTTGTAGTAGGCCCCTTCAAAAGATATCCACATCAAATTCCTGGAACCTCTCTGTCTGTCCTCAAATCCCTGGAAAGCTTCTTTGCACATATAATTAAGTTAAGGCTCTTAAGGTGAGATCATCCTGGATTATCTGGGTGGGCCCTAAACCCAATGACAAATGTCCTTTTAAAAGATACGCAAAAGAGAACAGACATACAGAGGAAGAGGTGACGTGGCCACAGAGGCAGACTGATGAGGTCACAAGCTTGCATGTCAAGGAATGTCAACAGCCACCAAGAAGCTAGAAGGGACAAGGAATGGATTCTCCTGTGGAGCTTCTGCTGGGCAGCCCTGCCGACACCTTGGTTTCCATTTGTTATAGCAGCTACAGAACACCAATACAGGATTCACCAACGCAAAGGTCATTGGAACAATGAAACTGGATAAGGTACCTCTGAGAGATTTCAGTATCCTGAAGAACCAACATTTAAGGCTTGGAAGAACAAGGCCTGCAAAGGATATTGCCAGGCAGTGGTCAGAGAGGAGGAACTGTGTTAGTCTGTTTGCATTGCTATAAAGTAACACTAGGGACTGGGTAATTTGTAAAGAAAAGAGGTTTATTTGACTCACAGTTCTGCAGGCTGTACGTGAAGCATAGGGCCAGCATCTGCTTCTGGTGGAGACTCAGGAAGCTCATAATTGTGGCAGAAGGCAAATGGGAGCCAGTGTGTCACACGGCAAGAGAGAGAACAAGAGGGAGCAAGAGATGGGGGAAGGTGCTAGGCTCTTTTAAAACATGAGATCTCACATAATGAGAACTCACTCATTACCACAAGGATGGGACACAGCCATTTATAAGGGATTCACTCCCATGATCCAAACACCTTGCCCCAGGCCCTGCCTCCAACATTGGGGATTATATTTCAACATGCAATTTGGAGGGGACAAACATTCAAACTGTATCAGAGGCCAAGGCAGTTCCAGGCTGAGTGAACAGCAGTGTCAAATACTGCTCAGGTCAGAGCTGGTGTGGCCAGTGAACTGGGAAATTTAACATCAGAGGGGGCAATCTTGACTTTCCTCAAAGCATTCTCAGTGGAGTGGTAGGAGTAGGAGTGAGGTCCAGAAGATTTGGGGATGAGTGAGTGGCTGAGATGGGAAAACAGCAAGTGTAGAAAACTCATACAAGTTTGGTTGTGAAGTGACAGAAAGAGTAGCTAGAGAAGTGGAAGGATTTTCCTTAGCTGGTAGAGATCCAGGGATGCTCCATTGCTTATGAGGGGACAGGAAAGAGGGGAGGGTTGAAGATATGGGATGAATGACAGGGAAGAAAGCATTCCCAAACACAGAGGAGGTCCCCCAAAATGGATCCTGATACAGGTAAGTGGAAAGGTTTGTGGCAGAATGTTGAGAAACCATCCATTCAATGGCTTCTGTTTAGTCTCTGATATGAAAGACAAAGTCACCTGCCCAGATGGATGAAAAGATAGTGGGATAGAAAACTGGAAAAAAAACAAAAAAGGGAAAAAGGTTTGAAATAGCCTTTGAGAAGCATGAAGAGAGAGCTGGAGGCTTGCTGAACTCTGCTGAGAGCCAGTGGAAGCTGGAGACTGATAATTTAATGCCCCCAGCCTGTGTGATTGTGCAAGGTTCTCCAGCAGCCCTTGACAGCCAAGGCCAGTATGGAGAAGGCAGAGAACGGATGAATCTACACTGGACATTTTCCAGGCAAGTGGGGTGGCTCCTCTAGCCCAGGCCAATGGGACTAATGGGATGCTGACAAAAGAAATTGACAAAATGTACCAAGACATGTAGGGTAAATAAGAAAAATAATTATTTTTAAATAGAAGTAAGAGGAGTTGGAAGGACTGGAGTTATGATCAAAGAGATATGTTTGCATTTTTCAGTGTCAGAGGTGGGGCGGTTCTGCGTGTGGCCAGGAGTACTTTGAGGACTGGAGTACAGTGGAAGTAACAGTCCCTAGAGATGAGGTAGTTAAGGAACGAAGAGGGCAAAATGGTGATAAGTCATCATATAATTTATTGTCCACTTTTGAAAGTGAAAGGAAGCATTATTAATTGATCATTCACCCCAGAATAACAGGCATGAGTCTGGACTGTCCTGAGCAAACCAAGACATATGGTAATCCTAATGCTTAGCCATTCGGGCTGATTGCAAGCCTCAAGGTGGAGAAAATGACAGTGCCCTCGTGTAAAACTATAAGGGACTGACGGGGCTTGCAGGCAGTTGAGTGCAGAGTGTGGGAAGTGGCGTGGCCAATGGCAAGAGGCTGGCCAAGCAGGGATTCTACAAGAGGGTGGGGGAGCTTTGGTGGGAAGCTTTGCTGGGGCAGGTGGAGGACAGAGGTCCCATCTCCACATCTCCTGGAGGTTGTTAATCTGCAGAATGAGAGTTGCTCAACCTCATGCATGTGTCACACTTTTTCCTACTTTCCCAAGCACTTTTATTTTTCCTAGCCTCCTAACTTTCTTGAGCGTTATCTACTGTGCTTCCCATTTTCAGAAACTGAAACCAAGGCGGAGGATAGTTTAGGTGATGACCCAAGGCAAACTGAGGAAACTCCAGAAGCAGAGCTGCCAGACAAAATACAGGACACCCAGTTAAAATGTAATTTCAGATAAACAACAAATAACATTTTTTTGTATAAGAATCTCCCAAATATTGCATGGGACACATTTCTACCAAAAAAAGTTATCCGTTGTTTATCTGAAATTCAAATTTAGCTGGGCATCCTTGTTTTTGATTTGTTGTTGTTGTTTTGCTAAATCTGGCAATCCAAAAAGAAAGGGGGCAGGCCAGAATGGCTGAATAAATCAGAGAGCCTTGTTAGTAGCCTCGGAGGCTGGGAGGGCAGGGACAGGCTCAGGTGCTCTCAGCTATGCTCAGGTGTAGCTGAGAGAAGACTTGAATGGCTTTATTTTTTTTTAATGTTTTATTTTTATGAGTTCGTAATTGGTGTTTACATTTGTCAGGTACATGAGATATTTTGATACAGGCATATAATGCATAATTATCACATCAGGGTGAAAAGGATATCTATCCCCTCAAGCGTTTATCATTTCTTCGTGTTACAAACCTTCCAATTATGTTCTTTTAGTTATTTTTAAAAGTGCAATAAATGATTGTTGACTGTCATCACTCTGTTGTTCTGTCAAATTCTAGATTTTATTCATTCTAACTATATTTTTGTACCAATTAACCATCTCCATTCCCCCTAGAATGGCTTTCTGCTCATGGCCATGTCACTTGCAGGTGAACAGATAGAGCCTCAGAGCCAATAATGAAAGTCCACATCCTCTATTTGAATTAGATCCTCATCCAGCTCTGGGAAGTAGGCACAGCATAGACTCCTATACTCAAAGGTTCCAGGAGAGATTTGCTGAGCTTCTAGAGTCAAAGCCCACCAAGGAAGGGGCCTTAGGGAAGGACGCCTGTTCATGCATGGTGGGTGAAGGTGCAAACCCTGGAGCCCACCCAGCAGGCCCCATGGAGCATGATGACAAGACTGCGCCCTGGCACGGGATCAGCAAGATTGGCCTTCTCACTAACAAAGTGGTAGGCAGGGTGCAAGGAGAGGGGAGTCATCACTGTGGAAGGAGGGAGAGGCAGGGAGAAGAGAAATGACCAAAGCTTAGGTCAGCTAGTAAATCATTAGCCTTCACCAGAACGCAGAAGCTTGGTAGATCATTGCTATAGGATAATTAAATGAAATAAAAAACAGCAAAAATAGATCAGGCTCAGTGGCTCACGCCTGTAATTCCAGCACTTTGGGGGGCCGAGGCGGGCAGATCACTTGAGGTCAGGAGTTCAAGACCAGCCTGGCCAATATGGTAAAATCCCGTCTCTACTAAAAACACAGAAATTAGCCAGGTGTGGTGGCATGCACCTGTAGTCCCAGCTACTCAGGAGGCTGAGGCAGGAGAATCGCTTGAACTCGGGAGATGGAGGTTGCAGTGAGCTGAGATCACACCACTGCACTTCAGCCTGGGCTACAGAACAAGACTCCATCTAGGAAAAAAAAAATAAAAAAAAAAAACAGCAAAAATAAAATACAACAAAATAAAATAAAATAACAAAACAAAAGCAGCCCCCAACCTTTTTGGCACCAAGGACCGATTTCATGGAAGACAGTTTTTCCAGGGACAGCACGGGTGATGGGTTTTGGGATGGTTTTGGGATGATTCAAGCACATTATTACATTTATTGTATACTTTATTTCTGTTACTATTACATTGTAAAATATAATGAAATAATTATAGAACTCACCATAATGTAGAATCAGCGGGAGTCCTGAGCTTGTTTTTTGTTGTTGTTTTTTTTTTTTTGCTATTAGACGGTCCCATCTGGGTGTGGGATATGATGAGGTTTTTCTTCAAATAATCTGATCAATCTCTTATTTTTTAATTCATATATTCCTAACATGGGGGTGATAGGAGACAGTGACAGATCATCAGGCATTAGATTCTCGTAAGAATACTGCAACCTAGATCCCTTGCATGTGCAGTTCACAAGACAGTTTGTGCTACTATGAGAATCTAATGCTGCCACTGATATGACAGGAGGCAGAGCTCAGCAGTAATGAGAGTGATGGGGAGCCGCTGTAAATACAGATGAAGCTTTGCTTGCTCTCCTGCCATTCACTTCTTGCTGTGCAGCCCAGTTGCTAACAAGCTATGGATCGGTACTGGTCTGTGGCCTAGGGGCTGGGGCCTCTGGCTTAAGAAATACATCGTATGTCATGATCAGGCATACTAAATATGTATACAAGTGAATGTCTTTTTTTAAATGACACAAAAGTATCACAAACAATACTTGTGTGATGTATTCTGATAGACTCAATTCTTCCATTTAATTCAAATAAAAATCTGATCATGACCCATTAAGTTGATTTCACAACCCACTAATCAGTCAAACCTACAGACTGCACTGCTTTAAAGATACTATTCTCGCTGTTGGGTATAAAATACATTGTGGGGGTCGTGGGGGTAGGCAAGAGAAGAGGCAGGAAGCTCAATGAGGAGGATATTGCACAAACTCAGGCACAAGCAGATAGCAGATTGGAGCAGGATGTTGGTGGTGGGGGCAAAGGCCGGTGGGCACTCTGTGTTTTAGAAGCAGAATGTGCAGGACTTATTAATGAATTAGATGAACAAGAAGGAGGAATTAGTGATGACTTTGTTTTTGGTTTGGGTCGCTGGGGGAACAGCGGTGTTGATTACTGACATGGATTTGCCTGGGGAAAGGAGCTGATTTGCAGGTAATTGAGAGTTCTGTTTGGGCTGTGTCCATTTCAATGCAATCTCACCCATTTTAATTTTTCCTGCTCTAGTCTTAGAGTCAGCTGGAGATAAGTACATAGCAGGTAGAGAAAAAACCCATAGTGAAATGTTAAGGAAAATAGAAAACTTAGTTAACATCTACTCAGGGCTTACTCTGTACCAGGCAGTGTTAAAAGCATTACACATATTCATTTAATTCTCAGGATAATGCTATGAAATAGGTGCTATCGTTGTCTATGTTTTACAGAAGAAGCACAGAAAGGTTACTTTCCTTGTCTTCAGTTGCATAGCAAATACATGAGCTGAGATGTGAACCAAGTCTGCCTGATGACGAAATGTTATCGGTCTGTCAGGGAAAGAGGTACTCAATCTCTTGGAGTAGAATGAATCTTTTTTTATGAATTTTGACTTGGAAAGATGTTCACATTATATTGCAGAGTTGAAACACAAAAGTAGGATTCAAATCAGAAAAAGCAGCTTCTGATCCATTTTTACAGTAAAAGTTAAAAACATGTCTATGCATAGATAAAAGACAAGAATTATGTATATTACAAAATTAACACAGGTTCTCACTCACTGATGGGATTAGATAGCTTAAATGTTTGACAGTGATCATATACAGCCATTGTAAAATAATATATTTTAAAATAGAGAAAGAAATGGAAACAGTGTTCGGCATATCTAGCCTGTCTGTGACACAGACTTATGGCAGCAAAGTGCCTCAGAGGACAAGTGCGCATTGTGGTGGAGGCCACTGAAGATGTGGGCAGTCATCCTGGTACTCCCTATCTGCGGATCACTGTGTGGCCTTGGGACCACAGGGTCCTCAGAGTGGTATCTCAGGGAAAGTACCTGCAGCAGTGGTGTCTTGGTAAATCTTTAACCACCAGCTCTCTAAAAAATAAAACATCCTTGATTTGCAGTGTTCGCTGATTTCTATGGCATAAAAACTACCAGTTTCAAGTGCAAATTGAGAAAAGATGAACAATAGTACACAAGTATATGGTATTTCCACCATGTAAATACAATATGTAAATTACCTCCAGAGGATAGTTAACAGTAAAATGCAATAAAGTAAATAGGACATGATGAGTTAGGAGTGTTTATTACTTTTAAAAAAGTATAAATTATTTAGTTGCAATCTCATATCATCTAATTTTTAATAATGACTGTGTTTAACAATTGGCTTACAAGATTCCCCGAAATTTAGCAATTGGCTCTAATGAGTCAGTATGAGCCTGCCCCAGCACACCACTGCCTCAGAGCCTTTTGGGCTTTGTCCAAGATCAGAAGGAGCTATGTGCCTGCTGAAGCAACTGAAGGAGGGAACCTCACCGCCGGCTCCTTTGCCCCACAAGGCATCTCGGCTTGAATCTCAGTCCGGAAGGAGAGAGAGGAAGGAGCATAGGAGAGGACTCCAACCAGGAAAGCCAGTAGCAGGAAGGGCTGGCAGCATCAATGTTATCATGGGAGCTGTTTTTCTCTGTCTTATCAATGGCAGAGACAAGGGAAAACAATACCTCTGACTTGATATCACTTTGCGAGCCAACAGGAAAACCCCAGAACCATGGGTCTGCAATGGCTTTGCCAATCTGGGTGGGTCAGGATTCCTTTCCCATCTCTGAGTTCTTGCCTTCTGCCTGTCTCTGCTTTCTATGCTCCAGTATGCTGATTACATAGCTCCGAGTCTCAGTTTCTCCTCTCTGAAATGGCCCAACTTGGCAGGTCCTGGAGAATTCAGGGGCATAGCTGCCTGTCTCTCACTGTGAAGACCATGGCAGAAGCAGGGCAAGCATTTCTGCTCCTTGGCTCTGTGTGACCGTCCTCGACACCACCCAGTTTCCATATCATCTTCACTTTGGGAGCTGTGTAGGCACTGAAAACATCATCCTCCATCAGCAGATTTGGAAACTGAGGTCCAGGGAGGTCAGGGAACCTGTTAAAATGGCAAAAGAACCAACTGCACACACATTTCATAAAATAAAAAAGTGGGAGATCAAGTGTTGCAGAGAGTGTGAACCTATAGGATTTCTTATGCATTACTAGAGAACATTAGTAGTATCTTGGAAAGGTGAACATGCATATATTCTACAATGTAGCACATACACTGAACAGATATTGTTGCAAATGTAGGTCAGGAAGAGTCATAGCAGCAGTGTTCACAGTTGCAAGAACCATCAACAGGAGAATAGTTGAATAAACTGTGGTTGAGTCACACAACGGATGGAATACAGGAATCTAAATCTAAATGAACCAATGAATGAATTACAGCGGCATACCTCAATGTGACTAAAATTTAGTAGTATGGCCAGGTATGGAGGTACATACCTATAGTCCAGCTACTCAGGAAACAGGTGGGATTGCTTGAGGCCAGGAGTCCAAGACTGTAGTGCACTACGATTGCACTTGTGAATAGCCACTGCACTCCAGCCTGGGCAAGATCCTGTCTCTAATTAAAAAAAAAAAAATAGCAGTACAAAATTAAGTGAAATAAGTAAGTCATAAAGATTCTATACAGCATGATACTCTTTTAAGAAAGTTAAAGAACAAATTAAAAATATCTATTTTTAGAATGCATACAGATTAGATACAATTAAATAAATATGAAAGCAAGGGAGTGATTCCAGATGGTGATTATGTCAGGTTGGAGGAACCTAGGAGATGGGCTAGGGATAGATCTCATATGTAGATATAAGTTATTGTCAGGGTTCTCATTTTTATGGTGGCTGGTTTGTACAGGGACTATAAGCAAACAATTAAATAAAACATAATATTATGAAGAAGGATTATGGTTAACTCCCTTCTGTGCCCCTGGGCTGGGGGGAAGAAGAAGGCTGGCATTGAGAATCAGACTTGGCTGGTGCCACTGTCTGGTTTTCAGGGGGACAACTGAAAATCACAGAACCAGAAGTCATGTGCTTTCCCCTTTCAGGCCTCAGTTTTCACATCACTAAAATTAGGTTTTGGGATCAGGTCATCTTTGAACTCCTTTATTAGCTGAGATAGAGCAGGCCCTGCTGCAGTAACAGATAAGCCTCCCCATCTCAGGGGCTGTACACATCACAGTCTGGGAGACCACCCTGGTCAGCTCACCTACAACACTGATTTAGAGATCCGGACTCTTCTGTCTTAGAGTCTTTCACCTCATGGATGGGAGAGAGAAAGCGTGGAGAACCCACACCCACTCTTGCCAACTCCCAAGAGTCACGCTGTTCCTACTCACCTTCTTGCTGAGAATGCACAGCCCCCACCCCACTGCAAGGGAAGCTGAGTGAGAAGGGAAGAGGACTTGCCTGCTCAGGGAACACCGACCCTCCCTGCCCGAGCTCCCTGCGTGTCTGTAATCCTCACAGTCTCCGGGATGTTCCAGCCCAGATTCGACAGTCTCCTGTTTCTGAGTCTACAATCCACAAAGGCTTTCTGAGTTTATTCATTCATTCCTTAAGTAAACAGAGGGCCTGCTCTGATCCAGCACTGGGTTAGGCCAAGGAGCTTATCACTCCTTAAAAAGCTCATAGTCCGGGGGTGAGTGCTGGTGGGAATGGAGGAGAAGGGAGGACTGACCATTTTACAAATGTCATCATATCGTGTGAACGCCCCATAGTCAAAGATAAAAGAGAGAATATCTAATGGGTGTGTGTGATGGGGGAGGAGGTTGTGATCACAAAAGGCTTCTTTCAGAAAGTCAGTTTTTCAGCTGGGTCTCTAAGTGTGAGAGGAGACTGCCAGGAAGACTAAAAGAAGGGGCTCTTCCCAGTAGGGGAACAGCAAGTGCAAAGGCATGGAGGCAAGGAAGGCCTTGCACGCATGGGAAAGGCCAGTTATTTCATTTTGCCGAAGGTGGGGTACACATGGTGTAAGGGTTATGGGGGTAGGTTGTACTTGCCATTAGGGTAGAAGGGTGATCAGGAGTCAGATGCTGAAAGGCCATGAATGTTTTGCCCAGTAGGTGTTTGGATTTCATCCAGTGGGCCACCATGGAAAGATTCCAAGTAGGCAAGGAAGGCTAAGGGATGACTGGAGTGGCAGTTTCAGGCCCTACCAAAGTCTCCATTAGCCAACTTTCCTTCTATTCTTTGATGTAAGCAAGGCTTTTCTCAGAATAATGTAGAGAACTTTGCACATTCAACTTACAGCGAGTGTCTTAATCCCATCTCCCAAACAGATATCCCACTAACCTAAATACATAGAAATTCCAGAGCCATTCTCCTCATCACCCACAAGAGGACAAGCTCACATTTTGATCACTGGCTGCGACCCACTAGGCATCATGTGGAGTGACCAGTTACCCCTGGAGGCCTGGGGTCTCTCCGCAGGTTGAGGTTTGCTAAGAGGCTACTGATAAAATGTACAGTAGTTCCCCCTTATCCGTAGTTTTGCTTTCCATGGTTTCAGTTCTCTGCAGTCAACTGCAGTCCAAAAATATTAAATGGAAAATTCCAGAAATATACAATTCAGGAATTTGAAATTGCGCGCCATTCTGAGTAGCGTGATGAAATTTTGTACCGTTCCACCCGGGACGTGAATCATCCCTTTGTCCAGTGATCCACGCTGTGGACGCTGCCTGCTTATAAACATTGTCCACTCCTGACATCCAGTCATTGACCTCAATAGGGCTCGATGGTCTAGTATCACCAGAAGCAGATGAGCCTCCTTCTGACATGTTGTCAGAAGGTCAAGAGCGGCCTAATGCAACATCATAATGCCCATATCACTCACCTCACTTCACCTCATCAAGCAGGCACTTTAACATCTCACATCATCATCATAAGAAGGGTGATACAGTACAAAAAAACCTTTAGAGAGAGAGAACACATTCACATAACTTTTATTACAGTATATTATTTTAATTGTTCTATTTTATTATTGTTAATCTCTGCCACTACTTTTTTTTAGATGGAGTCTCGTTGTGTCACCCAGGCTGGAGCACAGTGGGGCAATCTCAACTCACTGCAACCTCCTCCTCCTAGGCTCAAGCGATCCTCCCACCTCAGCCTTCTGAGTAGCTGGGACTATAGATGCACAATACCATGCCTGGCTACTTTTTTGTACTTTTTTGTACTTTTTGTAGAGAGGGTGGTTTCACCATGTTGCCAGGCTGGTCTTGAACTGCTGGCCTCAAGTGATCTTCCTGCCTCAGCCTCCCAAAGTGCTGGGATTACAGGCATGAGCCACCACACCCGACCTGTTAATCTCTTAATGTACCTAATTTATAATTTCAATTTTATCGTGGGTATGTATGTATGTATAGGACAAAACATTGTGCGCGTGTGTGCGCACGTGTGTGTGTGTGTGTGTGTGTGTGTGTGTTTCAGAACTACCTGCGATTTCAGGCATCCACTGGGAGTCTTGGAATGTATTCCCCATGGATAAGAGGGGGCTACTATGTGATTGCTGCCCGTAGCTCCTATATGACATTAGACACCACTTTTCTGAGGATGGTTCCTCAGGGAGCAGGAAGCCCACTAGGCCTGCTCCAGTGACTTCTAGGTCCAGGGTGTTCTGCCAGTTTTCCCAGACCACACACAAACCCTAGGCTCCTCACACCCAGGCTGGGACCCCTCATGCCCATGTCATACTGTCCAGCCATGAAACCAAGCAGGCATTCTCTTAGGGCTTCTAGAGGCCAGGGCCCTCAAAGTGTCTCCTGCCTCCCCGTGTCATCTGGGATTCCAACAGCAGTGGGAAGATTTTATACACTAGGAAATGGTCCAGGGGAGGAGACTCAACTTGTCAGTGTCACACAGCCCAGGAAGTGACAGTCTCCAAAGCCCCAGGCACTTTCCACACCTTGGAACCTGCAAGGAGCGGTAGGCTGAGTTTAAGATTCAAGGACCTACCCACCCTTTGCTGCTCAAGATAAACTTAAAGGCTACTCAAGAGCCTGTGGGTGGGGCCTGGAGTGGTCAGACTGCCCTTATGGTTTTGCCATCTGTGCACTGCACAAAGAAGTTGGGGGCTAGTTGGGGCTGAAATCTGGTTAGTGTAAACAGCAGGGCTGCATCCATGGAAGGAGGAGGTACTCTGTGTGTGTGTGTGTGTGTGTGTGTGTATGTAAAGGTGACTTGAGAGAGAGAGTGTGTGTGTGTGTGTGTGTATGTGTGTGTGTAAAGGTGCCTTGAAACCTGGATTTTAGCTCACTGGGTTGGTTCTATGGCAAAAAGAGCAATTACTTTTGCACCAACCTAATAATTCTGCACAGTCACCATAGGGTTTAGAGAGCAGCCTGGGAAGGTGGATATAAAGTTAACATGGCAAATAATTTGCGTCTTCAGGGCCAATTCCAGCATCTCATTAGTGGTGACGTGGGGTGCTGTATTGAGCAGGAACCTGAAGTCTTGCCTGGGAAGGGGATCCGCACTCAGAGAGGTCTGTCCTGGGTGGGGGATGGGGCAGTGGTGCCTGTAAGGAGAGTATTTGCCATTTTGCCATCTCTGCTGTAAACTGACACCTTCTGTGTCAACACACAGTCCAAAGGAACCCAATGCCCAGCCCTGGCCTAAAGGAGAGGCAAATCTTAGCTTTGTCAGTGTGTGCTTTGCTATTTATTCCTGACACATGGAGTGTGGGTGGTTTGAAGAGGGTTAGGGGTTCCTTCACCTGATAAATCACCATGGGGCGTTTTTTACAGAAATGAGAAGCATCAATTTGCACAGGATTGTGAAGCCCCATCTTCTGCCCCTGCTCATCTCTGCTTGCCTCCTGGGCTGAATTTGAAGGCTGACTCCCTCATAAAGACCAACTGCTTCCTCTTCTTGCCCAGGTTTCTCCTGCTTCTCTGAGCTCAAGGCTCTTGGTTTGATACTCCACCAAACACTTATCAGACCTGTTACCTGGGCAACTTTAGGAGCAGACTTTTTCCTACTTGTCCCCTCCTGCCCACATTTCTCCAGATAAATTGAATATTACTGTTACTGCAAGTATCAATATCACCCTCCCGTCACGCATGACTGCCTACTCACTCAGGGAACAGCAAAGCTCCTTCCTCTTTGCATCCTCCTTGGATCCTGTCAGTCACTGTAGAAGTTGGTAAGGATGGGATCAACATTCCCATCTGATACCTGGAAAAACTGAGGTTTACAGAGAGGGCAGGCCTACCCAAGGTCACTGGGCCAGGTCTTTCCTCCAAATCTTGTGTTCATTCCACTGACCCATTCTGGAGACTGTGGGATGGCTGGAGCCACTGGACAGGGAAGGGGACAGGGATGTGAGCCTCACCTGGGTGCTCCCTCCTGCCTTCCAGTCTGAGGACAGTATATGGGGCCAGAGCTGCCACACCTGAATGCTGCCACACTGGGATCAATGAAGAGAGAGCTGGGAGGTAGTAGTGGGTTAGGAGCAGGTGGCTTAGCTATCAGGTTTACTGAGAGACCCTGGGATGGTTCTTTTCCTTCTCTGGGCCATGGTACCTCCTCCTTTGTAAAGTGAGGGCTTGGAACCTCTGACATTTTAAATGCAGAGTTCCTTAGTGTGCACATGATAGGGCAAGAAGGTGCAGAGTTTGGGCGTGGCCCGGTCTTCTGGCCTGGTACCTAGGCCTCTGATACCCATCTGGTCACTCTCACCTATTACCCTCTCCCACCGTACATGTTGTTTCAGGGGATCCTGGAGCATGCATTCCCAGCAGCTGGCTGAGGGCTGACCTTAGGTCAATCAGTTGCCATCCAGGCAAACTGCCTATAGGATGCTCATATTTATTAGTCACCTACTGGGTACAGAGCCCACATGTTGAGCAGCTGTCCTGTGGGCAAGGAGAGGGAGAAAAGTACAAAACCAAAGAAGCCGCTCAGGCTTCAAAGAGGAGCAAAATCTGGGCATCCATGCGTCTCTCCACCTATTCATTCAATCATCAACCCAGCAACTATTTCCTGATTATTTACTATCTATGCTCCAGGCTCTGGGTAGAAACTATGTTGGGGAGAAAGAGGCAGAGGCCATCAATGTGGTCACCAGGCATGATAAACACCTTCTTGGCATCAAATCACTCTGAAGGACACAGGGAAGGATCAGAGGTTTCTCTAAGCAGGTGTCAGATTCCTAGTTATGTCCCCTCCCTGAACAGCAGTTTTCTCTATAAAATCTAGGGAAGGTCTTATCAGTGGTTCCAAATCCTACCTCCATCCTTGGAAGCTCAAAGACAGCAGCAGAGTTCCAGAGATAATCCCAACTATTTCTTTTGGTGTGGGGGCGGGGGGTACAAAGTTTCACTCTGTTGCCCAGGCTGGAGTGCAGTGGCATGATCTCGACTCACTGCAGCTTCCACCTCCTGGGCTCAAGTGATCCTTCCACCTCAGCCTCCTGAGTAACTGGGACCACAGGCATGCGCCACTACGCCCGGCTAATTTTTGCATTTTTTTGTAGAGATGAGGTTTTGCCATGTTTCCAGGGCTTGTCTGGAACTCCTGGGCTCAAGCAGTCTGTCTGCCTTGGCCTCCCAAAGTGCTGGGATTACAGGTGAGCCATTTGCAAGAACCGTGTACCTACTCTTTAAACAAATAGGTTTAATACTGTTTAAAAATATAAAGGGTACTGTATAGATGTGTTCTTGATGAATGAAAATATGAAGACATGATTGATACATATGCTGTCGTTTGTATTAATAACTGCAAATTGATAGACAAGATGGAGATCTGAGATCCAAGGGCCTCTTGGTTGGTGAAAAAGGGTGGCATTTGGTCATCACTGAAGGCCTTCGTGGTGCGAGCGACCATAGATGTGGTTAGGTGCCCTGCAGGTGATGTGAGTAACTCGTGGAGTGGGTGGCGGGGAAGAGCTGTCCTTTATGGAATATCTTCCGCTTACCAAACCCAAGCTGGGAAGCACACAAATGTCCCCGGCGGCGGGAGGATGACTGCTCCCATTTTACAGAGGAGAAAACAGGCTTGCTCGCAGAGGTTAGGCGTCATGCAGAGGTCATTCCGCTGGACGGTGGCCAAGCTGGCACTCCAACGCTGGGCGGAATGGCTCCAGAGCCAGACTGAAAGTGGGAGAGGTGACTCGGTCCCAGCCAGGCGGTGAGTTCCTCTGGGCTAGGTCCCCGGTGCTGGCGCAGCAAAGACCACCCGGAGAAAGAGACGGTGAAGGCCCCGGGGCTTCCTGGGGCGTCAGGCGGAGGCGGAGGCGGGGGCGGGGCTCCCTCCAGGCAGTCTTGGACTAGCTGAGTTGTCCCAGCGAGATGGGTGACAGCCGCTTTCCCGAGCTCCCCCGGCCCAGGCTGGTGTCCTGGCGACTCGCCAAGGCACCGGGGCGGGCTAGGGCTGGAGCCGGGGTGGAGGAAGAGGGTCGAGAAGCGAGGCGGGCCCAGAGCAGAAATAGGAGAAGGGGGGGGGGAGGGGGCGGGGAGTCTTTCCTGGGGCAGGAACCCGGGCCCCCCTTGGCGCAGCCGGCCCGCAAAGTGATTCTGCAGATGGAAGGAATTAAGTAGGAGGGGGAGGGTCCGATGGTGATAGCGAGAGGAGGGAGTTAGAAGTGTGTGCGTCTGTGTACACGCGTCTGAGAGAGGAGCGGGAGAGACAGGGAGAAACATCAGACCAGACGGAAATAGAAGAAAGGAGACAAGAAGAGTGAGAGAAAGAGAAGGACATACACACACACACACACACACACACACACACGGAGGGCGCCACATACAAGGACGACGGACACAGGAGACTAGTACTAGTCTAAGAGAGAGAGAAAGAAGGAGTATGAGAAAGGAGGGAAAATAGGAAAGGAAAAGTGAGTGAAAAACAATTGCAGAGGATTTGGAAAGAACGAGACAAGAGCGCTGACGACAGAGGGAGACGAAATTGATTAGGCCGGGGCTGCACTGAGCTCCCGGCAGCTCGGGGAGCTGGGTTGGCCGGGCTGGGACGAGGTGGGGCTTGGGCGGGGCCTCGCATGGGCGGGCCCGCGCCGTGCTGCATATGCAGATGAGCCTCACTCCCCTCTCTCCCCACCCCTGACGGTTCATATTCAACGAGACAGCCAATGCAGGGCGAGGACAGTGCCAGGCGGGGCAGGGAGTGGGCGGCGGGGCATCGTGGACCCCACCCCCGGAGCCGCCGCTGGAGGGGTCAGCCGCGAGGCAGATAGCGGATCGCCGGGCGGGGCGGGACGCAGTGGGCGGGGCGGAGGGGCGGGGCCAAAAGTTTCCTGCCCAACTTTCGCTGCCTCCTTCCACCGCCTGCGCGCGCCGGGGCCGCAGTCGGGGGGAGGCGGCGGCAGCGGCAGCGGCTGCGGGCAGCGCGCGGGGCGCAGGGCGCGGGGCGATCACCGTCGGGGCTCGGGAGGCGGGCAGTGGGCACAGGCTCCCCGGTGCCCGCCCCTCCGCTGCGGAGGGGGGCCGCGAGCGGGCGGCCGGGGAGGGGCCGGCACCGCCGCCACAAAATGAGCCTGCTGTCGGCCATCGACACGAGCGCCGCCTCGGTGTACCAGCCCGCCCAGCTGCTCAACTGGGTCTACCTGTCGCTGCAGGACACGCACCAGGCTAGCGCCTTCGATGCCTTCCGGCCCGAGCCGACCGCCGGCGCCGCACCCCCGGAGCTGGCCTTCGGCAAGGGCCGCCCCGAGCAGCTGGGCTCGCCCCTGCACTCCAGCTATCTCAACAGCTTCTTCCAGCTGCAGCGCGGAGAGGTGGGTGCCCCCGCGCGCCCCCGCCCACCGCCCCACCGCCCCACCGCCCCACCGTGGCGGGCCGTTCCCTGTCTGACCCGCTCTTCCTGGCCTGGCGCGGCCCGGCTCCGCATTGCCGGGCCCGGCTTGGCTTGGCTTCGTTCAACTCTGCCAAACTCGCCGCCCGAAGTCCCCGGGGTGCCGGGTGCGCGTCACCTCCCGGCTGAGCCCGGGCTGGAGCAATGCAGGCCGGGGCGGAGCTCTCCCGCCCCCTCTCCCTGCCAGGGCAGCCCTGCTCCAAAGGGGTTGGGGGAGGGAGTTGAGGAGGGGTTGTCTCCGGATTTTCTTCAGACAGCTGGGGTGCGGCCTGGGCGGGGAGCCCCTTCGAAGTGTCCTTCTCACGCCCAACCTTATCCTCGTCCTGGCCACCGCGGGCTGGGACCGAGAGTGCAGATTCTGCTCGGAGCTCCTCTGGAAGGGCCTAAAATCTTTTCTCCGACCTCTGCGGTTCCCGACCCGAAAGGCACCCTGGAGAGCAGTGACTGCCCAGAGGGCTTCTCCTGCTGTTCTCACTCGGGGACCCCAGATACGTCCTCCAGCTGCTCGCCCTCCCCCAGCCACATAGGAAGTGGTTTCTGAGGGCTTGACCCCACAGACTGCGCTGTCCCCAGCCCTCCCAGCCTCGAAGGAAATGAAAGGGAAATCCTCTTGAGCTCTTGGGAGGGGGGCTAGAAAGGGGGGGGGAGAGGTTCCAGCTGCCCAGCGCCTTCTGCAGAAACCTGGGCCGGCTGTGTTGCAAAGTCTGCCTGTTTGGTGGATTCAGTTACAAAGTTGACTGGGCAGCGCCTCTTTGCCAGCAAGATAAATACACAGATCGCCACCACCTCCCAGCCCTTTTTGAAGAGTCTCCAGGGCCTGCCCAGATACCACTCCTTTCCGTGGGCTGGACTCCTCCCCTCCCTCCATTTACTCCTGCCTCATTTGGGAATTTCAGACACCCATCTGTGGCCTTCACTTCCTCCCCTTGTGGGGGTTTTCTCTGCAAAGATGCAAGAGGTGTGTTCGGGGGAGGACACACATGGGGGTCACTTTCCTTCCAGACCTGGGCACACCGGTGAGTTTTAGGAGAGTCAGAGTCCTGAATGGGTTGGGGAGGAAAGCCTATGTACGCAAGGGTGTGCTGGGGGTAAGAGAGGGAGGCAGAGGGTCGCCCTTGAGTTCAACTCTGCCATTATTTACTAGGGGAGGCATGGACATATAAAATGCTGGCCCAAGGCCAACACTACCCAGGCTGACCTGTTGACCTGGGTGGGTAGAACAGGCGTGGGAGGGGGCTGGGTGCAGAGGAGGAAGATGAGTCTGAAAGTGCACCCTTTGGTGTCAGGCAAAAGCATTTCTATGCCAAAGCTCTTTGTAAACTGTAAAGCATTCTCTCCACGTGAGGAATGGTTCTTGGCTGGGGATCTTTCTTTCTTGTAAGAGACTTTTCTGCCTCTTCAGGGAATTGGCTTCAGGTGACCAGTGACTGGAGGACCGTTTGTGGGGTGTTTCTTTGGTGCATGCGTCTTTTCAGTTGTTTGTTCTCTTACCAAACATTTGTTGAGCTCTGGGCAGGACCCGGGGATTCACAGCCACAGGCTAGTGGGGGCCACGGATGAGTAAACAGACAAGGTGATAGAGGGTATGAATGGTGGGTGATTTGATGGGGGTGCTTGTGGGAGCCCCACGGGAGTTTCTCACCCTGGGAGAAGGGTGAACATGACCCACAGGTCAAGTGTGGACCCCTAATCAACCTCTTCTAGCCTCCCTCTGCTCCCCCTACCATGGTGGCATTGTTCCCCACCTGTGGGTCTCCCCTGAGAGGACCTGGGAGTTTGGAACCATCAAGAGTACCCTATAAGAATAGGATGTTGTGCTGCTTTTTGAAAATTTCTGGCATCCAGGATCCCAACCGGAGCTCAGTGAGAACTGCCCTCTGTCACTTCATTGCTGCGTACCTCAGTTTCCCCATAAAGTCACACAGTGTGAAAGGAGCAGGAAAAGGTTATACTGTATAGTGCAGTGGTGGGGAAATGTCTTTCACAACCTGACTTCAGGGAACCCCGTCTCTCTCTGGGCCTTAGCTTACCTATCTGTTAAATTTAGTCTCTGCTACACCCCAGGATGGTATATCTATAGTATTTGAGACCTGTTCAAACAAGAGAGGGCTGGGGGAGTCAAGAGGGGCTTCTCTGATGTTCACAGGCCAGTGGCTTCCTCGGAGGTGATGGAGGGCTGTGCCTGCTGACTTCCGGAAGGCTCTCTTGGCTTCAGGCTCACTCATCCTCACCCCCCACCCACTTTGCCTCCTAAACCCTCTCAAAGCCTCAGCTGTGTTCCTGAGGACAGGCCTTTCCTGCGCCCAGGGCTTAGCTGGTGACCTAATATGGCTCCAAAATAGCAACTGGCTGAGAAGGCAAGAAAAAATACCCCCCACCCCAATGCCACCAAGGGGCTGGTCGGAGAGGAAGCAAGTCGTGTGTGGGCCGGAGGGGACTCTACGGAGGGACCCAGGGGGCCCAGGAGCATCACCATTCTGTGCGAGGCCTGGCAGGCCCAGTGGCAGTGCCTGCGGATGTGACTTGCATGCTGACCACTGACCACGGCCTGTCTGCGCCAACCCCTGTGCCAAGAGCCCACCCCCTCCTGCACCACCCCCAGGCTGCTCCCACCACAATAGCAAAACACCATGAATGCAGCTGGGATTTGAGGGGGGGTGAGGACATGGGGGCACAGAAGCCCATTGTGCCCCTGGAACCTCAGCTCTGGAAGCTGAAGATAAGCCAACGGTTCTGAGTGGCACACTGGCCCTGAGAGCAGAGAGAGAGATGGCAGAGTTCACACCAGAGTTCCTGGTGCAGGAGCAAGCACCAGGAGGTGACTTGGATTCTTGTGGGGACTTCCCAGCTTGTGGTGAGGGTGCCAGGCCAAAGCGGACACAAGCACCTTGCACAGTTTCTTAAAAGGCTTCTGGGTCTACAAACTAGGCCCCGTGAAACCCAGTTTCAAAAACCTGATCTACGGCAACAACGATACATTTTTGGAAAGGGATTCCTAAGGCCCTTGGCTGAGCCCCTTCTCTCTCTCCAGGTACCCAAGGAAGGCAGTTCTTAGATGGAGTAGGGGCTGGGCTGCATGGGGTCTTCCCTGCCAAGTCTTGTTTGGAACTTAAATTCACAACCGTAAAGGGGCTATGGGAGTCATTTCTGGAAAAGCTGAGTTACCTCCTTGTGAAGATGGCCTCTTGGGCCCCTTGAAGGGCTGCCCAGAGCCCCTGCCAGGTAGTCCCTGTACCCTCCAGCCTCCAGGGAGATGTGGCTGTCTCACTCCATTCAGGTAGAATTCTTAGGGCAGCTGTTCTCTTTCCCTCTTTCTCCAGGGACAGACGTAGCTGGAAGGTGTGGCCCTACTGTCAAGAGACCCCCACTTTGTGAATGTTGGGGGAGGGACTTTGTGGTCAAATACATTTGGAAGACACAGTGTCCTTCCTTTCCCTTGGAAACACACAGTGCCCACTAGCACAGGAAAGGCCCTGAGAACTCCTGCAGTGCAAAACCTGTTAACCTTTCTTCAGCTTGACAGTTCCCACACCTATTTGAGCAGAGAACATTTTTGGCTCAGGACACCTGTCAGTGTCCTTCCTGGAAAACCTCTTCATTGTTGGATAGTTCCAACCTTTAGGAAGCTCTTCCTAGAGCATCAGCCTCTGCAGCAATGAACCTCCTCTTTGCTGCTCAGGTCTACCCATTGGAGGTTTGAGAACAGTAGCAAGGGTGTCACAAGGCTTAACAAATGGCCTTTCCCTGGGCCCAGCCCTTCTGTATGGACATGGCCATTAAAACCCTTAGAGGAGTACATACAGTGTCCTCCTTTAAAAGGCCCCAGTCTTGACAGTTTTCCGAGGGTTTGGATGTGCCCTCAACAGACGGAGATAAGCCCACGGGCTGCCTGACCAGTGTGGATGTGTGGAACAAAGCCACATTTCTGCCCAAGAATATGAGGTGCCTATGTTCGAGAGTGGGCTTAAGGAGCTCAGGTGGGTTCCCAGCAGCCTTTGTGGTGTGTGTGTGTGTGTGTGTGTGTGTGTGTGTGTGTGTTTAGGGGGCAGCTCCAGGGCCTGAGAGTAATGGCCATTCTATCCCAGCCCAGAGTTCGGGAGGATGCTCCCAGCTCTCTTGGCCACCCTTGGGAAGCTGAAGTGTGACTCAGGCAAGGAGGACCGTCATTTGAGAAGCTGTTGGCTGAGGCAACCTGACCCTCCCTCTGTCAGATTACGTTGACTGGACAGGCATGGACTCAGAGGGAAGACCACACCTCGTGGACCTTCTGAGTCAGGTGGGAGGGAGGAAAGCAGACAGCATTAGTAATCAGTAAGTGGCAGCAGCAGGGAGCCAGATGCTGTCAGTACCCAGAGGAGGGCTCCGGGAGGAGATGGCCCTAGTGGAACAGTCCTCTGCTCTTGGGTGGTGCTCTATTCATGGCCTCTCTTTCCTCATAGCTTCCATTTTTTGCAGAAGAGGACACAGAGGCCTGGCAAGTCACCTAGCCAGTCAGTGGGAGAGCTAGATCTAGAATTCTTCTGTGTTCCAGCTACGGGTTGCATCTGCGACCCGTCCTGCAATTGGTCCCCAGATTTGCTCTCCCCTGGATCAGCCTCTGGGTCCCAGTGAGGGCAGGCAGCAATCCGTCTGGACGGGGCCATCCTATCAAGCCTCAGTGCCTCCGACATTTTGTCCCTGGTCCTCAAACTTTCTGGAATTGCTGAGTACTGGTCATGAGTACTGGGTTTCCTACCATGTCCCTGTTCCAGCCACTCCCCATCAACCCAGCATGGGGGCATGAGTCCAGGGCTGGCCTGCTTTAGGAGAAGGAGAGAAGATGGGCACTGAGCACTTTCTACTGCTTCTGCACCCATATCCTAGTCTGTGTGCAGCATCCGCATTGTCTGGATGGGGAAACTAAGGCTCTTCTAAAGAAAGACAATGCATTCAGGGAATCAGAGGCAGAACCAAGACTCCAGCCTAGGTCTCAGGTCCTAGATCTGTTGTGTGTGTGTGTGTGTGTGTCGTGGTGGTGGTGGTGGCATGTGATTCTTTATTCAGCCCTCCTCTGGCCATACTGGTCTACTTGGGGTTTTTGAAAACATCAAGCACTCCCCCTCCTCTAAGCCCCTGCACTTGCTATTGCTGCTACCTAAAATGCCATTCCCTGCCCTTGTACATGGACACATTCCAACTGGCTTCTTTATGACACAAATGGATGTCCTTTCTCTGAGGGGTTTTACTTGGCTGCCACTGGGAGCAGACCTCTTTCCAGCTGCTGTGAGCCTGTGAAAGATGAGTTGTAGGTGCTCTGGTAAAGCATGTCTTTTTTTTTTTTTTTTTGATGGAGTCTGGCTCTGTCACCTAGGTTGGAGTGCAGTGGCACAATCTCTGCTCACTGCAACCTCCACCTCCCCCCAGGTTCAAGAGATTCTCCTGCCTCAGCCTCCCCAATAGCTGGGATTACAGGCGCCTGCCACCACACCTGGCTAATTTTTTGTAAAGCATGTCTGAAGGATTGGTCTTGTTCTGTAATAGCAATATGTGTGTCTGTCTCAGTAGTTAGATTGTCAGCACCCTGAGAGTAGGAATCTTGTCTTTTCTACTTAGTAGTCCTGGCATCTGGTTCTTAGCGTGCAGGACATGCTAGCTGCTTAGTTAATGTTTTCTACGTGGGTGGGTGTCTTGAATTGTAACCTCCCCTCCTCCCTTCCACCTCCTGACTTGTGAGCATGTAAGTACTCTCCTGAGCCTCTTCACCTTTTGTTTTGTCTCACAGAAAAAAATATGTATCGATTTCTTGATTCATTGGAATGAGCTGACTTGGGAGATAGTGAAACCTTGTCCCCTACAAGTGTTTCAGCAGAGGCTTGGGTATGCTGATGAATGGTCCTTGACCTTCTTTGGTTAGGGACCTCTTTGAGAATCTGAAGACAACTAGAGTTTCTGCTGCCAGCACAAGGCACAGAACATAAGCATGCGTGCACATGCATATACACATGTTTGCATGTGATTTCAGTGGGATCACACACACCTTCATGCCCACAGTGGATCACAGATCAAGGATCCCTGCAATGGAGGCTGCAAGCCTCAGTGGTACTCCAGACAGAGTACAGTCTAGCTAAATATGCGGGTCCTTTCCAGTCCTGGGATTCTCATATTCTTGCTCTCTGCTTTCATTCAACAAATATGCTCTAGCAGTAAGAGGCAGCCCGGTCCCCAGTGCTTACACACTAGCTGGGCAGAGGGCTTATAGCTGTGAAACGTGAGCACCTGTCAGGTGAGTGGTGACCCTGGGCTGGAGCTGTTGGAACCAAGGAGGAAAGGGATCTCCCCAGGTCTCCTCTGCTTTGTCCTGCTGGCACTGTCTGCTCCCCCTTTCCTGGGTCCTTTCCCTATTTCTCTCTGCCCACTCCCCCACCAAAAATAACCTAGACTTGTGATTTAAATAAGAATCTTTTGCTAAGCACTGACTGTGTCCAGGGAACTGTGTTTTACATTTGCTGGGTGAATGGGCCTCCAGGAGGCAGTGGTGCCCTCTGGAGTCCTGGGTGAAGGGTTGCTGTGCCTGTCGTGGCCAGCCCAGCACTGTCCTGGCCCATGGGTCAGCTTTAGACCTGGGAAACAAACAGAGCCAGGGGCTGAGCACAGCTGAAAACCCTCAGTCAAGGTGTGGCCATGTTTTCCCATTGGCTCGCTTCCCGCCTTGCCCACGGGCTATCTCCTTGTCTCCCTGAGACCGGCTGGTGTCCACCTCTGTATATATCGGACATGTATGTGTTTGACCAGCCGCAGATAGATGCCTGGGGTGGAGGAAGTACAGATCCCCTTGGGAGCAGGGTGGATTCATTTGCGAGATGAATGATCTCTTGTCCCAAACAGAGGAGTGTGGGTGCGTGTGTGTGTGCGCGTGTCTGTGGGGTGGAGTAGGGGTGGCTTTGGGATAAGAAAGCGGTTGTTCAGCTGATGAAAGGAACCCCTACAGAGCTAGGGACTCGAATCAGAGTTCCTCCTCCGGGGCCTTCTCAGGCCTGGGGAGCAGGACTCAGCCCTTGCTTCTGCCGTGCCTGGTAGCCTGGCCCAGACGCTGCCTTTTCCATGGTCTCACTGTGGCCATGTCCTTCCCAGCACATGCTGCTCCCCATCCTGCCTGCTGTCACTGCCTCTCCTATCTGTCTCTTGTCCTGTTTCTGTGCCCTCTCTTCTCCCTCTGGGCTGCCCTCTGCAGCTTCTACCCTCCTGCCCTAACTCCTGCTACCCCTCACCTGCTGTGCCTACCTACTGTCCTGCAGGGAAGGAAGAAAAGAGAAGAAGTCCCTCTTGTCAGGCTTGCTCCGGGGAGAACTGGAGTCAGCCTTGGAAATCTCTGTCTCTGCACCCCGTATTCTGCAGCAGAACCACCATGCCCAGGGCCTGCACCCCTCATGCAGCGCAGAGACACTGGTCCTTCATCTTGCCAGGGCCGAGGGGCCTAGCATATGATGTCACAGGGCCTCTGTGCCAAGTAGAGTGGTCCGCACCTGGCATTTTCCTCTGACTCCCCTTCCTATAGGGGAGGTCAAGCCTTGGAGGCCATGTAGAGGCTGAAATATAACAGGGCAACACGTGCTGGCTGCGTTACCTTGGGCAAATCGCTCAGCCTCTCTGAGCCTCAGTTTCTAGCTCTATAAAATGGGGCCAATAATGCCCATTTGAATAGTATTCTTGCCAGGTAAGAGGGGACTAAGAAAGGTAAAAGATTTAGTCAAATATATGACACACCGCATGATCAGAGTAAACCACAGGCCGAGCACGGTGACTCATGCCTGTAATCCCAGCATTTTGGGAGGCTGAGGCAGGCAGATCCCTTGAGCCCAGGAGTTTGAGACCTGCCTGGGCAACATGGTGAAACCTCATCTCTACAAATAATAAATACAAAAAATCAGCCAGCCGTGGTGCCATGTACCTGTTGTCTTAGCTACTTGAGAGGCTGAGGTGGGAGAATCACCTGAGCCCAGGAAGTCTAGGCTGCAGTGAGCTGTGATTGTGCCACTGCACTCCAGCCTGGGTGACAGAGTAAGAACAGTAAGACCCTGTCTCAAAAAAAAAGTAAACTATAACGTCTTCCCACCTTCCTTTCCCCAACAGCCAAGCAAAAACCTTGGAGAAGTTCCAGCACTGGGCAGGAGTGTGATGCATGGTCCCCCAGATGCGGTGTGAGGGTCACATCCTTCCTGCTACCTGCTGGGGTCACTGACCTAGGGAGGAAAGAGAGGTGGCCTCTTCCCTAAGCCTGGTGATCTGGGCCTAGATGGCCCAGGGGCTTCCACTTACCCCATAAGTGGCTTTGCCCTGCACCAGTGCCCAGAGCAGCCTAATCTAAGGTGGGAGTGCCCCTCCACTCGGCCCATGGAAATGAGACCGCTAGGGCATCTGTTACCCTATCTGTCAATTGGGCAGGCCCTTCCCTGCTGGTGACCATCGCACCCAGGGCAGGCTGTGGGGCAATGGAGGGTTGCAGAACCTTTGTCTTCAGGGATGTCCAGCCTTGTGGGAGAGGTGAGGAGGCCTCACACACGGGGAGAGATTAGAGAGCGACTTCAGAGCTCCATTGGTCACTCAGGCGGGGCTGCGCCATGATCCCTGCGCCCCCTCCTGCCAACCGCAGTGCTGACTGGGCTACGCTGGGGTGGGAGAGGTCAGCAAGGCCTCTGGTGGGAGTCGGGGCCTCTATGGCCGGGGGTGCTTCAGGAGCACCTGGATCTGTGCTTTTCATGCTTTTCCTTGGAGCCTGAGGCCTGAGTAAGGGGAAAGGATGAGGTCAAGGCCACAACCCTGGAGTTAGAGCCCGATCTGGAGCCAGGCCCTGGAGGGGTTCTGGATGGACATAGAGAAGGGCATTCCCAGGCTGAGGCAGCAAGTGTGGGCTGGAGGGAGAAAGGCAGAGCTGCGCGGTGGGCATGGTGAGAGGAGCAGGGTTAGGGCTGACAGATGAAGGCTTTTAGGGCCACCTTGCACTCCAGCCACAGAAGGAAGGCCACAGAACAGATGGTGCCTGTGTCGGCCTCTGCATGCCAGGCTCCAGGGGCGTCTCTCAGGACCCGGGTGTCTGGACCCTAGGAAAGCAGGACCACAGGGATCAGCAAGGTCACCCTTCTTCCCCCTTCCCCGCTCCATTTTACACTGTACAGATGGGAAACCCAAGAGGCCAAGCCCCAGCTCCGAGCAGGAGGGGGATAGAGCTCTGGGTCCTGGCCTCTGTTCCATCCAGTCCCCACAGGCTGTGGAAACAACCAGGAGACTGATTTGCCTTTCACCTCCCTGGCCTGAGCTCAAACGGGGCCTCAGAGAGGAAGCAGCTCACTGCCTCACCCACCCTTCACACTGGCCAGCCAAGCAGGATTTCTGGCCCTGGGGCCTGGCTGGGTACCCTGGTCTGCGTCCCTGTGCCCCTGTGGGCCTCAGTTTCCCCATCTTTCATGTGGGAATGAGGTAGGGTCAGCTGACGGTCTCTACCCTTTCGGCTCTAAGGTAGCGTTCGTCTGGAATTAGGGCTGGGGGATGGGCCCTAATTCCCTGGAGACAGGCTGGAGGGCACTAGAGGTGGGAAGGCCATGAGGAGGGGAAGCTCTGGCCTCACTTCTCTCACTGTGGAGCTGCCTGGGGCAGGGGCAAGGCTGCGGCCCTCCAGAGGGTGGGGTGTCGAGCTGCCAAGGAGAGGGCACCCGCTTAGAGGCCTCTGGCTGCCCAGGGATGCCTGTGGGGCCGTCCGTGGGCAGGGGACTGTGGCCGCAAGATGGGGGAGAGGTTTTTCAGGGTGTAATTAGTGCACTTTCTGGCACCCACCAAACTTCCCCTTCCTCTTGACAATTTGCTGCCAAACAGCCTGATTCCTGTGGACTTGCTTAAATCTTATCCAGGGGAAAAAAAATAAAAATAAAAAAAAAAGAAAGAAAGAAAGGAAGAAAAAGAAAAAAATATTAAGAGGGTTGTTATTTGTGAAATTGTGTTTCCCAGCCATGAGGGTGAGTCACACCATTTGGGGCTTCAAGTTTCTTGTTTGGATGAACTTTTCTCTGGGAGGCTGGGGCGGATTTGGAGGGGGAGGGGGCCTTCTGGTGTGGGGAAAGTCTTCGAGTCAAGATAAGGGGAGACCCTGGTGGTTGGGAAGTCCAGGTGCTCCAAGGCTGGGTGGGGCTGGGCTGGTTGTACCTGAATTGCCTGGGGGAGCTTGAAAAATACAGATTGGGCTGCAGTAGGCGGGGGCGTTGTTGTTTCACGGGCATGGAGTTTCAGTTTGAGAAGATGAAAAAGTTCTGGAGCTGGACGGTGGCGATGGCTGCACAACAGCATGAATGCTCTTAATGCCACTCAACTGTACACTTAAAAATCATTGAAATGGTCAATTTTGTTGTGTATATTTTGCCGCACACCTAAAAATACAGATTTCGGGCCCTCGATTCCAGGTGGCTGCTTTGGTAGGTCTGAGGTGGGGCCCAGAAAACTGTTTGTTATAAGCTTCCCAGGTCATTCAATACAGGTTGGGGCACACTCATGTAATCTGTAAAATGGGATAGTGACTCATAGAGTTGTGGGCAGAATCAGCTATCTGAATACGTGTAAAATTTCCAGTGCTGGGGTCACAGTAAGAGCTTGGTCTGTGTCACTGTTATCCTGTGATGTGGTTTTTATCAGAACTCTCCCCCATGCCGTGGAAGGTTGACCCCCATTGGCTCCCACAGCTCCAGGGACGGGGGACCCTCTGCTTCTCAAGGTGGACTGCTCCATCTTGGATTCATCTGAGAGCTGGAGTGCCCATCAGGCTGAACGCAGGTCAATGTGGAATCTTCCACTGGTCCTGGATTTGGTGGTCGGGCCAGGCAGTGATACAGAAGTTACAGTCAGTTGGACCCATTGAAATCCTTCCCAGTCACTATAGGTGACTGTGTGCTGGGCTGGCCTGCCCCCGATGTGGTGTCTGTGTCTTTCCTTCCGCATCCCAGGCTCTGATCCAGATGCACACGAGACGGAACAGAGTCCCAGAAGGAAAGGGCTGTGGTCACACAGCCGTGTGTCCTGAGGCACCAAGAACATCAGTGGCACCCAGATGATGAGGACCATGTCTCTAGGAGGGGAGTGGCAGATGCCTGCAGATGGATACAGTTGGGTGGCTGGGACACATACTTGTGCAAAGTAGGATCTGCTTCAGTTGGGGGAGGCAAGACTGTGCCCTGTGCCCTGGGGCCAGCTTGCAGCTCGCCTCCCTCCCCTGCCTATGCTAAGGGAACACAGAAAGGACTGTCCCCAACCTGGGCTTCTGTCTGCCCCATCTTTGTAAGGGAGCCTGAGGCCCTTCCTTTCAGAGGCCCTGTTTCCCCTTCAGCCTGGAACTCCCCAAAACAAATCCTTGTCTCCCCATCAGACACAAGGCCCCCCAAGGTCCGCAGCTTATTCCTGCAGTTCTTGGGCACCTGTGCTGGGGCCAGGAGATACTTAAGCCCCAAGCCCAGATTTGTTGTTGACCCTCCTGGGGAGGCCGCCTCTTTCAGCCTTGGCCTTGCTCCAGGAAAGGGGGACCCCTGGCTGCTCCCTGCCAGCCCCACCTTCGCTAAATTCCAGTATGCAAGGCAGCCCGGAGCCCGTGACTCCTATAAATAGAGGCTGTATATACCAGGAGGGGGCCTGGGCCACGTCTGCTTTGAAGCTAAGCAAGATGTCTGGTTCCTGTCATCTGGAGGTGAGAGAGATGGACCACTTCCCTCCTTGGGCTTCCAGAGAGGTGGTTTAGGGCCAGGCTGAGGGCTCCCCACACACAGACTACACAAGCCTCGGGCTGCAGGAAACCTGGCAAAGGGCTGGGCTTCAGTCTTGTCTAGTGTGAAGCGGGAGCAATGCCGCAAGCTGACATTCCCTTTCCTTACAAGGTGGGGAAACTGAGTCAGCAGTGACTTTCCTAAAGTCACCCCACCAGTTAGTGGCAGAGCCCCAAATCTGACAGGTTGCTTTCTACTATATGTTCTTACCTCATGGCAGTATGTTAAGAACTAATGGTAATAATAATAATAGCCATCATCAACATCATTGCCATTTACTGAGTGGTTCTGAAGTGCCAGGCATGAGATAAACTACTTTCCATTCATGACCTCATTTTAGCCTCATAGAAACCCTAGGAGGAGCTGTTACTAGGACCATTTTGCAGATAGGGCCACTGAGGCCCAGAGTAGTTAACTGGCTTGTCCATGGAGACACACTAGTTAGGATTTGAACTCAGGCTTCTGGAGCCCAGAGCCCTCGGGTAGCTGAAGACTCAGTGTGAATCCATGCGTGTGTTTGGGTGGGGGGTTATGGAACTTCTCCCAAGGCAGAGGCTGTAGTATATGTGCCTCTGTCTCCCACAGGCGCTGAGCAACAGTGTGTACAAGGGCGCCTCACCCTATGGCTCCCTCAACAACATCGCCGATGGCCTCAGCTCCCTCACCGAGCACTTCTCAGACCTGACCCTCACCTCCGAGGCTCGCAAGCCCAGCAAGCGGCCCCCACCCAACTACCTGTGCCACCTGTGCTTCAACAAAGGACACTACATCAAGGACTGCCCCCAGGTAAGGCAGCCCTGGCCCAGGGGGTGCTCTTGGGCTCCCCTACTGACCTGCGGACAGGCTCCTGTGGGTAGGGCAGGCGAAGCAGTGTCCCCAGGGCCCCTTCCACCAATGAGTGGCCCCGTGGTCCTCTGGCCTCTACCCTTTTGTCCCTGCTGGGATTTCTGAGGCAAGGCTGGCTGGTGTGGTCAGGACAGAGGCCCATCTTGGGCCCACGCTGGTTGGTCAGCAATCTGGGTGGGGGATTTTTGGACCCGAACTGGGCCCCCAAAGGAGGTTCTGTGCCTTTGGGTCTCCACCAGTCTTTTTTGCTAGGTGGGGCCTGTTCTGAGGGGGCAGTCTCCTCACAGCTCCCTGGAGGCCCCATCTCATCACATTCACGGGGAAGGAATGCAGGCTCTGGGCCAGGAATCCAGATGTGCACCCCCTCCCCTGAACCCCACCTCTGCCTCCTCAGCCTGTGAGGGAAGAGGGGAGGGGCCCTGCCCCACACTCTGTGCTCCCAGGATAGGGCTGGGGGAAGGCTTCAGGCACTGCAGGGCGGAGCATCTCTTTCTTGGAGTGAGAAGGGAGGGTCGGGCAGATCGAGGCCCCCACCTGATCCAATGCTTCAGTATGACAGAGTGGGCCTACCATGCCAGCCCACCTACAGGATGGTCCCTGACCCACTGATAGACATGGTTTTGGGATCCTGGGAAAAGAGGGTAGTAGTCATTTTAAGTACAGCATGAGATTATCAGTGATTTTTTTTCCTATTAGTTTTTCCTATTTTCCAACTTTTTTTATAATGTGGCATTACTTTTATTTTACGTTTGTAATGGAAATGGAATCCTGGAAACTCTGGAAATGCATGTAGTGTTCCCCTCCAGATGTTGGAAACTGACGTGTGGTTGGGTGGGGCTGGGTCCCTTCAGGACCAGTGGGAGGCCAAAATGTGCTGTCATTCATTACATTCCCAAACCCTGCTCAGAAACGGCCACACCATGCTTCAGGTTCTTGCCGCTTAGAGTACGGCCCTGGCAGAGATGCATCAGTGCCTCCAGGGAGCTATTACAATTGCAGGCTCTCAGAGCAGCATCTTAGCAAGGTCCCCAGGTGATCTGTGTGCCCCCATCCCAGACTCTGCATACATAGTGGGAGCTGACCCACTGACGACTTTCCTGCAGACCCCACATCTCCAGTGGGTCCTGTCCTCCCCCTCAATATACACAGTAAGCAGGAGGCTATTGGCTCCCAGCAGAGAGTGAGTACCCTCAGCCCCCCTGGGGTTCTCTGGATAGAATGAGGGGCAAACAGGCAACTGAGGATCTAGTTGGTCCTTAAGGGCATGCTCATGGCCTGTGCAGTCCATAGCCTGTTGCACTTTGTCCAGCTGAGCCCCAGCACAGGGGCCCCCAGCTCATGTGCACACAGCCATCCACAGCAGCCCTCCCTCATCCCCTGCCTACAGCCTGGGAAGTGGGCAGAGCCAGACTGAGCTCCGTTAAGGAGACAGGCACTGTGCTGAGTGCTCTCCAAGCAGTATTTCATTTAATGAAACTACTCTATGTGTTAAGTGCTCTATTTGCCTCATTTTCCATGGGGAAACAGATGCTTCGAGGGAGGAAGGGACTCACACAGGATTATTGAGCTATCAATGGAAGAGCTGGGATTTTAATCCAGGCAGGCAGGTGACACTCAGACATCAACAGGGGCTCTGGAGCCCCGAGGAGGTATGCTTACTCTGGGCTGGTAGCCTGGGAATGCTACCAGGAGAAGGGCTTTGGAGAAGGGTGGCAGGGCCTCCCCCAGGGTGACCAATATCCAAAGGCAATGGATGTGAGCCAGAGGCCCGGGGATAGCAGAGGGTGTGTGTGTGTGTGTGTGTGTGTGTGGTGTGTGTGTGTGAGTGTATGTGCACATGCATGCACCATCCTCTCTCCTGACAGGGCCAGCGCTCTTCTAAATGCTGGGGCAGAAGGTCCCTGGCACCTTCCAGCACAGTGCTAACGTGGGATCTTCCTTCATAGAGATCATCATCTCATATTGGACTCTTAACTCTACGGCAGAAGGAGGAGCAGAGGCCTCATTTTACAGTCTTGGGGAGGTGGAGAGGGCAGAATGTATACGAGATCCCCAGTCTCAGGATTTCTGTATTCTTTGCCTCCTTAAGCTCCTTGTCACTCCAAGCTAAGACCTGCATGGTCTGTGGGGCCTCAGTTTCTCACTCAAGCTGATTGAGGCCTTCTCCTGGCTCCATTCCAAACTTGATTCTGTCCTGGACTCGTGAAGGCCCAAGCACCTTCTTCCTCCCTTCATGAGTGGTGGGAGGACAGACAGAGGCTCGCAGCATCAGTTTCGTCGCCTGTCCCATGAGGCTAAGGAGAGCACTGACACCCAGGGTATTGTGAGGACATAGTGAAACTATGCATGGAAGGTGCTTAGCACAGTGCCTGGACACAGGAAGTGCTTAGTAAATGTTGGCTAGCATTTTTTTCTCCTTTGGGTCACTATGAAGAGTGCACCCATCTGGCAAGGCACTAGGTATTTGGGCAGGCTAGAACCTGATTGGATGCTGTCTACCCCTCACCTGGCCATAGCTCCAGGGGCAGGTGCTGGGCTGGATTCATCTCTGTGCTCCTCACCATCTGACCACGCCAGCTCAAGGGACCTCACACGCAGCGGTGCTCAGTGCAAGGCTCCCTGAAGGGAGGAACGGGTTGACAGGGCTTTTATAAACCACAGAAAGAAACCTGTGTCACAAATGAAATAGTGTGTTAGAACCTAATTTCTATAATATTTAAAAGTAGAAGGATTTTCTTGGGAACAGCTTTATGAGATACAATTCACTTCCCATATAATTCCCATTTGAAGTGTACAATTCAGTGATTTTCGTATATGCCTGGAGTTGTGCAGCTGTCACCTCAATCAGAGAACATTGTCATCACCTTGAAAAGGAATTTCATACTCCTTAGGTATCACCTCTTTTTTTTATTTTTTTGAGACAGAGTCTAGCTCTGTTGCCCAGGCTGGAGTGCAGTGGCATCATCTTGGCTCACTGCAACCTCCACCTCCTGTGCTCAAGTGATTCTCATGCCTCAGCCTCCCGAGTAGCTGGGAATCCAGGTGCTGCCATCATGCCCGGCTAATTTTTCTGTTTTTAATACAGATGGGGTTTCACCATGTTGGCCAGGCTGGTCTCAAACTCCTGGTCTAAGTGATCCACCTGCCTCAGCCTCCCAAAGTGCTGGGATTACAGGCATGAGCCACCTCTCCTGGCCCAGATGTCACCTCTTGATCATCCATCCCCTCGCATCCATAACCACTCATCTATTTCTCTCTCTGTAGATCTGTCTATTCTGGACATTTCATATAACTAGAATCATGTAACATGTGGTCTTTTATGACTGGCTTCTTTCACTTAGCATAATATTTTCATGGTTCATCCATGTTATAGTGTGTTAGGAAGTGTTCCTTCCTGTTATATTTTCTGGAAGAGTTTGTAAAGTATCAGCAGTAATTATTTTCCAGATGTTTGATAGAATTCACCTGCGATGCCGTCTGCGCCCGGGCTTTCTTTTGTGGGTAGATTTTTGATGACTGCTCTGAACTCTTTACTCATTATAGAGTATTCTGATTTTTTTTTATTTCTTTTTGACTCAGTTACTACAGTTTGCATCTTCCTAGGCATTTTTCCATTTTATCTAATTTGTCTAATTTGTTGGCATACAGTTATCCATAGTATTCTTTTATAATCCTTTTTATTTCTGTAAGGTCGTTAATAATGTTACTTCTTTCATTTCTGATTCTTGCAATTTGAGTCCTCTCTTTCTTCTTGTTTAATCTACCTAAAGTTTTGTCAATTATTTTGGACTTTTCAAAGAACAAACTTTTGGTTTAGCTGATTTTCTCTATTTTTTTCTATTATTTATCTCATTAATTTCCACTTGCATCTTTACTTTTAAATTATATTTAAAATACATATGGCATAAAATTTACCATCTTAACCATTTTTAGCTTACGGTTCGTGGCATTAAATACATTCACATCGTTGTATGACCATCACCACCTTCCAGCCACAGAGCTCTTTTTATCTTGCAAAACTGAAATTTATCTTGCAAAACTGAAATTTATCTTGCAAAACTGAAATTTATCTTGCAAAACTGAAATTTATCTTGCAAAACTGAAATACTGTACCCATTGCATAATAATTCTCCCTCCCTGCCCCCCAGCAACCACCATTTTACCTTCTGTCTCTGAATTTGACTACTCTAAATACCTCATATAAGTGGAATCACATGGCGTTTGTCTTTTGGTGATTGGCTCAGTTCACTTAGCATAATTTCCTCAAGTTTCATCCACACTGTAGCATGTATCCATTTCATTCCTTTTTAAGGCTGAGTAATATTCCATTGTATGTATATACCACATTTTTAAATCAGTTCACCCATCAATGGACAACTGGATTGCTTCCACCTTTTGGTTATTGTGAATACTGCTGCTGTGATCGAGGGTTTATAAGTATCTTTGCTCGCTTTCAATTCTCCACTTCAATATTTATTATTTCCTTCCATCAGCTTGCTTTAGATTTAGTTTGCTCTTCTTTTTCTAGTTTCTTCAGGTGGAAGGTTAAGATACTGATTTTATATCCTTCTTTTCTTTTCCTTCCTTCCTTCTATCCTTTCATCCTTCCTCTTTTTATGGAGACAGGATTCCACTCTGTCACCGAGGCTGGAGTGCGGTGCTGTGATCATAACTCATTGCAGACTCAAACTCCTGGGCTCAAGCAATCCTCCCATCTCAGCCTCCAAAAGTGCTGGGATTACAGGCATGATCCATTGTGTCTGGCCCCTTCTTTTCTCAATGTAGATAATTACAGCTATGAATTTTCCTCTGAGCCCCATCCCATAAGTTTTGGTATATTGTATCTTATTTTCATTTATCACAGGGCATTTTTTTTTTTTATTTCCCTTGTGATTTCCTCTTTGACTCACTGGTTATTTAGGAGTGTGTTGTTTAATATCCACATATTTGCGTGTTTCCCACACATCTTTTAGTGATTTCTAACCTTATTCCATTGTGGTCATAGAAGATATTTTATATTATATTAACCCTTCTAAATTTATTGTGGTTTGTTTCAGAACCTAACATTATGAGTTATTCTGGAGAATGTTTTGTGTGCACTTGAGAGAAATGTATTCTGCTGTTGTTTGGTGGAGTGTTTTATAGATGTCTGTTAGGTCTAGTTGGTTCATAGTGATGTCTATGTCTCCTCCTGCTTTGTTGATATTCTGCCCAGTTCTTTTATTATTATTTTAAGTGGGGATATTTAAGCCTCCAGAAATTATTGTTTGTCTATTTCTTTCTTCAATTCTGTCAGTTTTTGCTTCATTCATTTGAGTGTTCTATTATTAGGTACACCTATGTTTATAGTTGTTGTATCTTCTTGATGGATTAATCATTTTATCCTTATAAAATGTCCTTCTTTTTCTCTAGTAACTGTTTTTTTTTTGTTTTAAAGTATATTTTGTCTGATATTAGTATACCTAGCTTTCTAATAGTTGCAGATTACATGACAGATATTTTCCTATCTTTTATTTCCAACCTATTCATATATTTGAATTTAAAGTGCATCTCCTGTAGATAGCATATAGTTGATCTTGTTTTTTGTTGTCTAATCTGAAAATCCTTGCCTTTTGATTGGATTGTTTAATCCATTCACATTTAATGCTCTTTTTGACGTAGATTTAGGTCTGCCATTTTACTGCCATTTGCTTTCTAAATTACTCATGTCTTTTTTATTTCTCTATTCCTTCTAAAGAATAACACAATAAATTGCTTTCTTTTGCATTGATTTTCTAACTAACATTTTAATTTCTTTAATGATTTTTTTTCACTATGTTTTGTGAGTTATTTTTTTAGGGTTGCTCTAGGGCTTATCTTATACATTGTGTCTTACCAGAATGCCTCAGATTTATAACTTGATTCCAGTGAGATAGAGAAATGTTACTCCTATGTAGCTCTATTCGCTCCTTGTTTTGGCTTTCAGCAGTTTTACTATACTGTGTCTGTTTGTGGATCTCTTTATGTTTATCCTGCTTAAAGTCTGTTGAAGTGCTTGGACGTATTGTTTAAATTTTTTCATCAGATTTGGAAAGTTTTCAGCCATGATTTCTTCAAATATTCTTTCTGCTCCTTTATCTCCTCTCCTTCTGTGAGATGATTTTTAAATGATCTAAATGCTTTAAAAACCTTTAATGGTCTAACTGGGAGTAAAATGTGCAGAACACTAGGCCCACCCTGCCTAGGTCCTGAAGCTGCCCATGGAGCCCCCGGGGTCTGAGGAGGGCAACAGTGAAAGCAAGCTTAAAGCATTCACTGCCACGGGAGCCAGGGGTTGGTCACTTATTACTTGGTCCTTTCTCACCTTAAGAGTAGGATAGAGGTGTCCAGAGCTCAGCTCATCAGACTGATGGGGCCTCTCACATATCCCCAGGGCAGTGGAAGGGGGATTGGACACTGGCAGGAAGACTGGGAAACCCCAAAACAGAGGGAGAAGGTGCTAGAAGCCAATTCTGAATGTCAACAAAGGGCAGTCCATCCTTGTGGGGTGAGGCTGTGCCTAGGCCATGGTCTAGTCATGGTCTAGCCATGGTCCGGCCAATGTCAGCACTGAACCAAGAAGGATTAGGACTCAAGAGTGTCTATCATTTGCTTCTTGAAAAAACAGCTGCTATTGTCCTCATGTAGTGCACCAGCCATCCGGCCCCAAGGTAATAATAATATCATACACTATACAATAGCAATAGCTTCTAAGCACTGAGTTTACCACTGGGTTTAGCATATTCTATGTATTAGCTCATTTAATGCTGTCAAAAATTGTCTCGGTAGGTACTATAGTGATCTTCAATTGCCAGATGATAAAACTGAGACCCAGAGAAGTGGAGTGACTTGCCCAAGGCCACACAGCTAGTGAATATCAAAGCTGGAATTGGAACTCAGGTGCTCCTGATTCCAGAGCGCATGCTTTTTCAATATCATCCTGCATCACCCTTGGCATCCAGACTTTGATCTCCACTATCATTCTCAGAAAGTCAGGGTTCTTTAAAAAGATAGATGACTGGAAGTAGAGAGGGTCAAGGACAATGTGGGCAGAGGCCATCCCAAGCCTGGTCTGGCCAAGTTGGTGTGCCTGGTAGTTTCACCACCCAGCCTCAGGGTGTCTGCTGCCCCAGTTTAGTCAGGCAGGTCAGGAGTGGGTTGGGATTGCCAGCTCTGGTGGCAACAGAAAACCCAGTGACTGCAGGGCGGCATGGTTGATATCTGCTGGGCCTGCCTGCAGGGTCGCCTGGTATCTCGTTTTGGCCTCTGCACGCTGATGGGTCAGGACTCTGAAGGCCTGAGCAGCAATGTGTTGCTGTGAGCCAGCTGCACTTGCCTGTAGGGGTCTGTGGTGGGGGCCTGGCGCAGTGCCACATCTGTGCCCAGGACACACAGTCTGTCCAGGACAGAGCAGGACTCCAGACATGTTCCCATCACCCAACCATTCCTGAGAGTTTCTTGTGCACCAGGCCTGTGCTGGATAAGGCCCTTCCCCTGTCCTCGGTGGTACAGATAGAAAGAGTATTGGCCACTCTGGGGGACCAGGGCTGTGGTGAGGTTTACTGTGCAGGCCCAGCTCAGCCTGGAGCTTCGTGGGAGGCCTCAGAGAGGAGGAGCTTGGATTTGGAGTGGGGAAGGCTTCCAAGCAAGCGTGTAAATAACAGGAATATGCTTTCCGGGCACTGTGAGCCCTGGGCCACAGCAGGCGCTCCTGGGGGAGGAGTGGGGGTGTGGCTGGAACAGGTGATGAAGGGCTTGTGTGACAGGCTGTGCAAACTTGGACTTTATCTGGAGGCCAGGGAGAAGGGTTTTAGGTGACATGCTCAGATTGGCATTTTGAAAGATCCTGCTAGTGGCAGGTTGGAGGCTGGGCTGAAGGAGGCAAGAACGCTAAGGAAGCCAGCCCCTGAACATGGATAGGGACTGATGACTGGACACAAGACAGCGGTGAGCAGAAGCTGAAGGGGAGGGAATGGATTCTGGAATGGAAAAGTACCATCTATGGGCCGTGGTGCCCAGTGAGAGGGAAGAGGGAGCAGGCAGCAAGGAGGGCTACCAGATCTTTACGGTGGCTGCCTGGGCAAATCAGCTGCCAACTGGGATACAAATACACGTGCATAAACAGGTAGGCTCGCCTTCCACTCTGCAGTTATTTATTGAACATCTACTGTGTGTCAGACACATAGCAAGCATTAGAGGACACCACAATGAGCAAAACAGGAAAGGCTCCCTCTGTCTAGGAGCTTGTGTTGCAGTTGGTGAAGTCAGGCAGTAAGTACAAATCAGTGGGAACTAGGGAACTATCAGATCAGATGAAGAACACAGAAGAGTGCTTTCATAGTGTGCACTGGGCTGCCTTCTCCTGGAGTAGCAGGAGTTAGTAGTTAGTAGCATGCATGCTTAGGCCCATGATACTTTTAGGGTCCACAGATATGTTTCTTTTCTTTTTTTTTTTTTTTTTTCAGACGGAGTCTCGCTCTGTTGCCCAGGCTGGAGTGCAGTGGCGCGATCTCAGCTCACTGCAACCTCCACTTTTTGGGTTCAAGCGATTCTCCTGCCTCAGCCTCCAGAGTAGCTGGGATTACAGGTGCCTGCCACCACGCCTGACTGATTTTTGTATTTTTAGTAGAGACGGAGTTTTACCATGTTGGCCAGGCTGGTTTCAAACTCTTGACCTCAAGTGATCCGCCTGCCTTGGCCTCCCAAAATGCTGGAATTATAGGCGGGAGCAACTGCACCCGGCCACAGATATGTTTCTATTTGCCTATTTGTATTTATTTTATAACCAGATGAGAAAATGGGTATAATAGTGAATATATAATTATGAACTCAGCCTGGAGATTTGTGTTTACACCAATGCAGTCAGAAAATATATATATATATATATATATATATATAGTATATATATTTTGTTTGTTTTTGTTTTTTTGAGATGGAGTCTCACTCTGTCACCCAGGCTGGAGTCCAGTGGCGCCATTTCAGCTCACTGCAAGCTCTACCTCCCAGGTTCAAGCTATTCTCCTCCCTCAGCCTCCCGAGTAGCTGGGATTACAGGCGCCCGCCACTACGCCTGGCTAATTTTTGAATTTTTAGTAGAGACAGAGTTTCACCATGTTGGCTAGGCTGGTCTCAAACTCCTGACCTCAAGAGATCTGCCTGCCTCGGACTCCCAAAGTGCTGGGATTACAGGCATGAGCCTCCATGCCCAGCCAGAAAATAAAATTTTTAATAAGGTTTTATGCAAAAAGGGCCCACAAAGGCAAAAGTGCCTAGGGTCCACAGAAGTCATAATGAAGCCCTGAAGGGTGTCTGGGGCAGCTTTCGATTGGGTGGCCACTGTGGGTCTCTCCTATGATAGGACATGAAAACTTCACGTACTACCACTCCACTAAAGCTCAGGCAGGGGGAGGGTCCACATGCCCACAGTAAGGATCCTGATGTTGACGTGGGTGATATCTTGTTGAGGTCAAAGGATACAGCCTTGAATTTTTAACCCAAAGGCAACTTTTCCTAAGCTGTCTCTTTGCCCTTCACGGCTGTCAGGCCCAGCCATGCCCAGCCTGACAGCCACCCTTCAGGCACTGACCTGGGAGCAGAAGCTCTCTAGAACCCGTTTCCATCACTTCTGAGACATTGTTAGTGGTACTCATTACTCCTTTGAGGGAGGTCTGAGGGGTGTTGTCACCTGTGCCTCTTGTGTCCAGCTAAGAACAGGGCGCCGCGAGAGGTCTGGGAGGGCCTGAGCCCAGGGGAACTGCCATTCCTGAGTCAGCATGCCCAGGGCTGCTAATGAAATCCAGATGTTAGACAGAAAACAATCATCGCCCCCACCCATCTGGCAGCTCGGGTTTCTTGGAGATTGCAAAAGAAGAAAAATAGAGCCGAGAGAGAATGGAATCCTAGAACAGCTGAGATCTTAGAGGCAGGATGTAAATAGTCTCAGGGTCTTGCTGGGGAAAGGGCAGGAGACAAGGGAAAGAGGGGGCTGGCCCAGTCCTCCTTCTTCCTCACCCAGGTCTCTGCAGCCCTCGGACCCCAGCCCCTGCACCCCTCCCCAGGCCAGAGCAGGCTGGTCCTTGAAGGGAGTAGGCTGTTGGAGGCAGCAGGCAGGGCCGAGGCCCCCAGCCCATGTCTGACCCTTGCCTACAGTTTCCAACCCCTCATTCCAACCCTGACCTCACTGCAGGTCTGGGTGTCCTCTGGGACCAGAGTGGCTAGAGCCCAGGGAGGGGACAGGCCAAAAAGGACTGAGGCTAGGCAGAATTGTGGGCTGACTAGAAGCTTCTCCTCAGAACCCCAGAGCTGAGTGGCATAGGGATAGAGGATGAGGGGTATGGTGGGCCAGCTGGGGGACCTAGCCTCTTCTTCCCACCAGGGTAGCCTCACACATATCCACCTCACATGTTAGGGAGCATGCGAAGGGAAGGCTCTCAGGCTTATAAAGTTTAACACCATTGATTAGTTCAGACCCATCAACATACTGGTGGGGAAACTGAGGTTTTCTCACAACACTGGGGCTAAGGACTGCCTGTCATAAAAAAATGTATAGAAGGCTGGGTGCGGTGGCTCATGCCTGTAATCCCAGCACTTTGGGAGGACGAGGTGAGCAGATCGCCTGAGGTCAGGAGTTTGAGACCAGCCCGGCCAACATGATGAAACCTCATCTCTGCTAAAAATACAAAAAAATTAGCCAGGTGTGGTGGCGCACACCTATAATCCCAGTTACTTGGGAGGCTGAGGCAGGAGAATTGCTTGAACTCAGGATGTGGAGGTTGCAGTGAGCCGAGATCGCACCACTGCACTCCAGCCTGGGCAACAAGAGCGAAACTCCATTTCTAAAATAAATGAATAAATAAATATAAAAAATGCATACAGGGAGGGGCAGAAAGGTAACACCACAGACAAAAAGCCCTTTGAATGTTAGACAGTGGAATTAGCAAAGAAAGTGTTATACTGCCACCCATTACTCATTAGCAAACATCCAGAAGGAAGGAAGAAAGGAAGAAAGGAAAGAAGGGAGGGAGGGAGGAAGGGAGGGAGGGGGAAGGGAGAGGGAGAAGAGGGAGGACAGACAGCATCATTCTGTGTTCCCACTGAGGAAGGACTGGGCCTAGGGCAGATGGCATAGCAGGGGATGGGTGCTGAAGGTAGCATTGCAGGGGGTTCTCCTGGAGCCTGGGCTGGCTGGCCAAGGGGCCTCAGCTGAGGTTCTTCCAGCACTTGGCACAGAACCTGGAATGTCGTGAGCACTCAGAGAATGTCAGCTGGGATGGGTGTTGCTGGGGGTGTCGTGCCTGCCGTTTGGCAGGTGGTGGCTTGGCATAGATGCTGACGTTAGGGTAGTGCCCCAAACCCAGTGTCCGGGCCTCGAGGCTCTCCTCCTTGCCCTGCCGAAGCCCTCTCCTTTCAGTGAGGTGCCTTCGAGCACAGCCCTGAAGCCAGCCTGCCTGCGTTCCACCCCTGGCGCCGCCTTGTAGCAGCAGTGCTATGTGCCTTTGGGAAAAATTCATTCAGTCTTTCTAGGCCTCAGTTTCCTCCTCTGTAAAATGAAGATATTAAAACATCCTACTTCATGGGATGTTGTGAGCTTAACCGAGTTATTTTATCTGAAGTGTTTATAACAGTGCCTGGCACCTTGCTTGCACTGCAAGTAGTAACTCTTAGGACTGTTAATTACTGTCATTATTATTATTATTATTATTATTTTGAGATAGAAACTTGCTCTGTTGCCCAGGCTGCAGTGCAGTGGCATGATCTCAGCTCACTGCAGCCTCCGCTTCCCGAGTTCAAGCGATTCTCCTGCCTCCTGAGTAGCTGGAACTATAGACATGAACCACCACACTAGGCTAATTTTTGTATTTTTAGTAGAGACAGGGTTTCTCCATGTTGGCCAGGCTGGTCTCAAACTCCTGGCCTCAAGTGATCTGCCCGCCTCGGCCTCCCAAAGTGCTGGGATTACAGGCGTGAGCCACCATGCCCAGCCTACTGTCGTTATTATTATGCCTCAATTCCGCTGTTTCAAACTGGCTTGAGAAGTCCCAGGGTTCTAAGAGACTGCTTCAGCACTGTGGGGATCCACAGAGGTGGCTGGAGCCCTCCCTTCCCACCCTCATTCCCTAAGGGAGGGGCTGCCTCTGGGAGGGGCTGCAGAGAGGCCAGGTGACAAGGCTGTGCTTTCTCAGGGGTCTTGGGGAGGGGACAGGGGAAGGCCCAGATGACTTTGAGTCCCCCAGGTTGTGCTGGGGGGACTCTGCTGTGCCCAGGATGGGTGCTGTGGGAGGAGGGGCGATGCACAGCTGGAAGGTGCCCAGTGCCGCCTGTGGGCTGTCAGTTCCCCTATGGCCCAGGGAAGAGGAATCTCTCTCCAAGTGCTTGCCTAGGAGCAGCTGCTGGGGGTGGAGCAGGGGTGGGGGATTGGAGGGGTGGGGCATGGAGTGTGAGGGCTCATGGGGAGCCACTTTTATATCCTTCCTGCTGCCTCTTGCCTGGCAGGAAAGAGCCTAGGAGGGCCAGTTTCACATCCTCAGCTGCCAGTTCTGCTTTTAGAAGAATTGCAGATGATAATTAGGAGTCCCCAGGAATCTCGATGGGTCAATGGCCTCACCTTCCCAGCCCTCTGCTTCTGAGCCTTAGGGACAGAGATGTTGGCAGAGCCTAGGAGCCAGGACCAGTCCTGGTCTTGAACTACCTGCAAGGCCTAGTGAATGGAATGCTGGAGCACAGCAAGTGCATCCTTAAGCTGAATAGCTCCAAGTGTCACCTCCTTTGGGAAGCCCTCTCTGATTTCTCCTTTCCTCCAAGCTCAGAGGGACTGGCCTCCTCTGAATGCCAGAAAGGCTCACTCACTCACTCATTTATTCCTCACCTGCCAAGGGCCTCCAGTGTGCCAGGCCCTTGGCCTGCCCCTCTCACATGGCTTTCCTTTGTCTTGGAGTAACTCAAGTGCCCTTTGCTGTGAAGACTCCGGGGAAGGTTCTGGCTGGGACATCCCTTGGTCCCTCAACCTCAGTAAGAACAGGAGAGCCCCAGGCAGCGGAGTCTCACTGAGCTGGACTCAGAGTTCACTTTTGCTCTTTCCCAGCTGTGTGTCCTTCGCCGTGTTGCCCACCTTCTCCCAGGCATCTGTAAAATGGGTTCACCATCCTTGCAGAGTGTGTGTGGAAAGCGTCTAATGCAGGGCTTGGCATCCCACAAGCACTCAGTAAGTAAGTGGCAGCCCTCACTGTTGGTATCACTTGTTAGGCCGTGGGGCTTCCTGAGCCAGATCTGCCCTCATTTGTAAAGTGAGGCTCATGTACCTGATGGGAGGGTTGGTGTGAGGGAGATGAGAAGCAGCCCGGATACCTGGGAAGCAACACCCACCGGAGCCCCTCTCCTTCTCCCTGACCCACCCCTGCAGCTGCTTAATTTCATGCATGCACGCAGACACATATGTGCACACATGCAAACGTGCGTGCATGCACACACCCCTTGGGCTTCTCAGCCTCAAGGCCTTGCTCACACTGTCCCCGAGTCTGCAATGCCTTTCCCGAATCTCTTCTCTCCTATCCCCCTTTCAGAGCCCAGCTTGAGCCCACCTCTCTCAGGGAGTCTTCCCCAACCATCCAGGGCCTCAGAGCTCTCCTCTCTGAACCCTAACTTGTCAGGACAGCACCCCTTCCCCAGAACCTGGTTTTAAGGCCCTCAAGAGGTAAGAAATCTCAACCAGGTTTCTCATCTTTCCCCCATCCCCATCTGGCCCCTAGGGGACAGAGAATGCCCCTCTTTGGGTGGGCTTCACTCTGCCCTGCCCCAGTCCTGGAAGGTAGCCCAGCCTGGGCCGTTTGACCTCTGCTCAGCCTTCTCATCCCCACTCCACCTGTGCTATGGCCTTAGCCAGTGACTCTCTCATCTCCCCCAGGTTCAGCCCAAACACGTCCTCTTGCATGGTGCAGCCCCTATGCCCTTCTATGCCCCATGTGCTCCTGCCTTGGTGAGTCGTGCCTAGCCCAGGGCCGGTCCTGGCACAAGTCTGTCTCCTACTTCCTGAGGTCACTTCCCAGGCGAGGTCTGTGTCTGCCTGGCAGGCAGAGGGAGCATGGCCTTGGGGTCAGAAGGCCCGAGCTCTCATCCCAGGGCTGTCTCTCTAGCTGTTCAACATTGGCCAAGTTGACCTTACCCTTGGGCCCCCACACCCCCATGCATGAAGTGGCATCAGCAATGAAGCCTGTCTCTCAGGGCTTCTGTGAGATCCAGAGGCGATCAGACAGGTGAACGCGCTTTGAGAACTGTGAAGTTATACCATTTGCTCCACTGCCCAGCGAGCAGCCACATTTGCTGAGATGATCAGAGGTGTGCGAGCGAGGGTGTTTAGGCCTTGGTGGCTGCTGTGAGCTGACCCCTGCCTCAACTGCCATGGGGTCTTGGAGGCATATTTGTGAGGGCAGCATTTTCCCTTTCCACCATGTCTGGGGTGGCTGCCCAGGGTGGAGCCTGTGTTGGGTGCCTCCTGCTCCCAGTGGCTTTGTGTGGAGTGGGAGGTGGCCCAGCTGGGGCAAGGTGGCCAGATCCCAGCCTGTGGGTTAGAGGACTTGGCACCACTGACCTGGCCTGACTTGGAGACATGGCTCCTCAACACACCGCCCCCACTCCCTCCCATTCCAAGGCTCAGGGCTCAGAGAAACGGGGCAGCAGGTGCAGGGAAGAAATGTGCATGGAATGGGGGTGAGGAGCCCGAGGACATCAGGCCTTCCTCATGCCTGGCTCACGGAGCACCTTCGTCTCATTTGCTGGCTGGGTTCTTACACTCACCTGGATGTCATCTGTGGCCCATGTGCCCACTCTTCTTCTCTTTCTTCATCTCTGTCTCTCATCCTTTCTTCCTCTTTTCTTTTGTAACAGATTACATAACTTGCCCCTGGTCCCACAGCTGGTTAGGATCAGGCCAAGTCAGTCTGACCTTAGGCCGTGCCTTTCCCACTGCTCCCTCTGCCCACAACAACGGATGGGGGTCCATCCTCTAGGACATGCTGTAGACCTGCTGATCTCCAGCCCTGGCAGAAATCAGGCTGCAGGAGGCACTGTGAACCCAGGCCTTCCTCCCTGCCTGGCTTCCTCCAAGTTCCCTGGCTGTGTGGGAGCCACAGGTCTCTCCCTGACAGGTTGGGGTGATGGTGAGGTGGAGGGGTGCCCCCAAAGCAGTAGGCATGATGACAAGGGGTAAAACCCAACAGGGGCCCATGCTCCTCTGCTCCTTCCTGGGGACTGTGAAGCTCAAACAGAGCCTTGTGCCCCTCCCTCCCGCAGGCCCTCTGAGCCCTCCCCATGCATCAGTCCTCCCTCTGTGTTCCCAAAACACCCTGCACAAACGGCTTAGTATTTTGTATTCTCTTTTGATTGTGATCCCGGGGAGGGGGAAGGCTGGCAGAAAATCACTTAGCGCAGCACCTGGCACATAGTGAGTGCTCAGCAAGTGTGAGCCATTGCGTTGCTGTGGCTTCAGTGCGCCATCCACAGTGTCTGCCGTGGTGCCCACTCTGAGCAGGGCCCCGTCATAAGGGAAACATATTAACAGCACAGCAGCTACACGCACAGGGAGCGCTCACTGTGTTCCGGGCACTGCTCTGAGCACTTTTCACCCATTGACTCCTCTAATCTTCTCATGGCCCTTGTGCTGGACACTCTTCTTATCCCCATTGCACAGAGGAGGAAACTGAGGCACAGAGAGGCTAAGTGACTTGCCGAGGGTCACACAGCTTGGACATGTTCCCCAGCAGTCTTGCTTCAGAGGCTGTGCTGTCATAAATATGTGCAAAAAAAGGAAGAAATGAACAAGACTCAGGATGTGGAGGAGGAAAGAAAGGCAGGGAGCTAATGTTGACTGAGCATCCTCCATGTACCAGCACATCACTGATGTCTTCAGAGACGTCAAGGGATTCGCCCAGAGTCACACAGGAGCCAAGGGCATGGCTGGGATTTGAGCCCTGGGTGATTTCTAATCCCCTCCTCCCCACCTTATCCCACCAGCTCAGGCCTCAGAGAGCCAGCACAGTTCATCAAGGGCCCCCTGGACACCCCCAGCAGCCTTGGACCACATAGCTGAGTTGGAGGCAAGACAAGGAATTACTCAGTGAGGCCACTCATTACCAACGCGTTTGGTTCTAACCAGCCATAGGTGAGGAGTTTAGAGGAAGGAGCAGAGCCAAGTGGGCGACCTTGAATAAGCCCATTGCCCTTGCCACACCTCAATTTCCCCTTCTGTGCAGTGGACCCAGCAATATGCATCCTGTCCCTCTAGGCTGCCGTGTAGGTCTTATGAGCTAACAAAGCTGGAAATGACGAAAGCCAAGCTGAACAAAAGTTAAGAGCTTTGTAGGAATAAAAATACTTTTATTTATGAACATCTAAAGGCTTTGCCTAAAAGTGTGGTCAGTGGACCGGCAGCAGTGGCAGTACCTGGAGCTTATCAAAAATGCGCAGCCCGGGTCCTCAGGCTCCACCCCAGTCCTGCTGGGTCAGAGTCTGCATTTTCACAAGCTTCCCCCATCACCCATGGGAAACACTGGTCTAGGAATTTCTTGCTTCTCAGTTCCCCATTCCCGGAGGCTGCCTCTTGGGCCTTCTTTCCATAGCCTACAAGGGGTTCTTGGCAGGAAATTCCCATCTCGTTGGAGAAAATGCTGTGGCCCAGCCAGACCCCTGCCCTGCTCAACTGCCTAGGAGATATGAGTGCATCAGAATTAAGCTGAAGTTGGGCAGAGGCTCTAACAGCCTCTGTCACTCCAACAACCTCTGATGAGACCATTTGTTGGGAGTGCAGCTGCCACCAGAATCAACAAGGCCTTTCAGACCTGGGAGAGGGTGCAGGGAGGAGTGAGGGGGTACCCTCAGCCTGGGCTCAGTAGGGCTAGGGGTTTCTTCTGAACAAAGGGCATTTGTACCAGATATTCTCCACCTTCACCCAGGAAGGCAAAAGGTTGAAACCGCAGTTGGAATATTCCAGGTTAGAAATAAGAAGCAACGTCCCAACTGATCAGGAGCAAGCCAGCCAAGGACACTGAAGACTCCATCCCCTTAAATGTGTGGCCAGTGTGTGTGAGGTCAAGAGGCAGAGCTGGAACGGATTCCCAGAGGCCCTCTGCCCACCGTCCTGCCCTGAGACCATTTTGACTTCAAGGGGCCAAGGGACTCACCTAAGGTCACATAGCAAGGAGCCCTGGGTTCTGATTCCCTGTGCCTGGGGCCCCTCTTCATTGCAGGCCTTCCTGGAGGCTGGGGAGTGACCTTGATGACCTTAGCAACCTCCCTTGAAGCAGCCTGGAGGTTTTGAGCATGTCAATGGGAGGACGGGAGGGGCTGGCTTTGTGAGCCTAGCAACTCAGTGTGTCTCACTGTGTCTTAGCCTTCATGGTACCCAAGATCATTAGGAATACCCCAGGGGCAGAAGTCCTCTGAGACAGATGCGGTGAGTCAGGGACAGGAAACCTGGACCCAAGGGGTCCAGGTAGAGGAAGCAAGTAGAGGCTTGGGAGGCCTGACATTGATGAAGAGCCTGGGGACCAGTGCTGTGTATCCTTAGGCCAGTTACTTGCAGTCTCTGTTTCCCTATGTGTAATATGGAGGAGAGGTTAGACAAGATCAGTGATTCCATCTCGGGCTTCACATTAGAACCACCTGGGTTTTTTTTGGTTTTGGTTTGGTTTTTGGTGCTAGAAATTTGAATTCAGTAGATCCAGGGTGGGCCTGGCCAAGGGCATATTCCTAGCTCCCCAGGTAATTCTGACGTGCAGCTGGGCAAAAGCACCATTGCCAGGTCTGAGATGGTGGGGTGCTCTGGCAGCTGTGGTGGCTGCAGGTGATCATAACCACAATTATCCTCCTGAGGTCCTGGGAATGCAAGATTACAAGGTTCCGGGAGACTCCCAAATGAACATTCCAGAGGTTCTAGATATCCAGAGGTTCCAGATGTTCAACCTCAGATTCCCTAGGTCATGTGACTGCAGCTTTATTATTCTGAGAAGTGAAGCTTCCCACAATGGAGGATTCTGACACTTGAGTGTTCTGGTTTTGTGACTTTAAGAGTGTGAGATTCTATAATCATTCTGTATACCTCAAGTACGTGCTTCTGAAACCTTCCGTGTGTTTCTGTGTTCCAACTGCAGTTATTATTCTTCTCTAAAATGAAGATTCTCCATGTCTGTAATTCCAACACATTCATTATCCCAAATTCTAGAGACTCCAAGAACTTAAGCTATTGTGGCACTAATATTTTTTAAAATTCTAAATTCAGCAACTCTGTGACCTGTCATTCCATCTGGGCAGTTGGCCGCCAAGGCTTGGGCCCAGACTTTGTCTCCTTGAGACAAGGTGGTGATCGTATAAGCTGGGACACGTGCCCCCTCACCTCCTTGGCCTGGAGAGCCTGTCTTGGTGGAAGGGGTGAGGGTGGGGAGAACAGAGACCCCACGGAGCTCTCACTTCTTTGGCTCTTCCTCCAACACTGGCTGTAGAGGACTGGAAGGTGGAGCAAGTGTGAGGGGCACATGTGGCCATGCGGCAAGGAGGGCAGCAGGTGGACATACAGCTACATCCCCGAATTGCTGCTTGTATCCACCCATCTCACAGCAAAGCTGTGAATTCTCTGTGTCAGACTGGCTTAGACATTAGAGGCTATCACATCCGAAGCACCTCCCTAAACTCTCTCTCTCTCTCTCTCTCTCTCACACACACACACACACACATGCGCACGCACATATACCCTTTTTCCACCTAGGAAAACTAAGGCCCAGAAGGAGGAGGTGACATGCCTGATAGAGCTGGCATCCAAACCCAGGGCCCTGAACTCCCGGTTGTCATTGCATGGTCCTTTCCAGCTAGTCAGGCCCAGGTCTGGCTTTCTGCACAGAACCATCAGCTTTCTATAGCTGACTTTCAGGTCCCTCCAAGGGGACAGGGACCAGCCCGGTGACTCAGGATTACACATTTAAAGCCTGTAGCCTGGCGGATTTCACTAGGCCCAGGAGAGGCTCCCCCTGCCCCCGCATGACCTCCTGGCCGTTTCCTGCCTGCCTGACCACAGTCTTCCGTTCCACTCCCCCAGGACGGGTGCCCGCCTTGTGCCAGTGCACATCAGGCTCAGAGGCCAGGAGGCAGAGGCTGGGCTGGAGTCAGGCGTGGGGAGGGGTCCCGCCACTCACTCACTGTGTGACCTTGAAAAAGTCTCTCCACCTCTCTGGGCCTCTCCATGCTGTGGGCCGGTGGATGGTAATTGACAGAGTTACTGTGAGGATTAAATGAGACCCCAGGGGAAAACCCAGCATGCTGGGAGGGGAGGGGCAGAGGCTGGTCACATCCACCGCCCACTGGTCCCCTCAGCACTGAACCCATTTTGGATGAGTGGCTTGTGTTTGTTGAAGGTGTCTGGGTAGACTTCCATATAATCCTTCAGAGATAAAATGATGGATTGCAGACTCTCCTGGGCTTTCAGAAGGTTGGCTGGTAGAGGAGATAGAGTCCAAAGGCCTTGGACACCTGAGATTTAGGCAGATGTCCAGAAAATGGTGATGATGATGTTGATGGTGGCTATTGTTAACTGAATTCCAGCCATGTGCTTGGTACTCATGAGCTCCTTAAAGCTTCTCGACTGCCTGCCTGATCGATCTTATTATCCCTACTTACACGGGGGAAACCAAGGCTCAGAGCATTTCAGAAACTTGTCGAAGCTCTTGCCGCCAGTAATGGCTAAGTTGGGATTCAAACCCAGGTCTCCAGGACCGCACAGCCAGAGCTCTGTTTCACTTCGTACTCAGCTAGAAGAGGGGACGCAGGGCCACATGATGGATGGTGGCCATCTCTCTACGTGGCTGCAGGCAGTCCACGGCCAGGGAAATAGAAAGACATTTTCTAGAAGAGATGCTAGTGGTTGCCTGTTTTCCTCCCTCGGTGGGATTCTCCCAATTTTCCATGTGGCTATTTTTATCACTTTTAGAAATCTGGAGCTGCCTGTGGCTGCCCAGTCCCTGGAGATGGGTGGAACACACAGGGCTCTGCACAGCCACCCACACCATGTACGTACGCGGGGCTGCCAAGGGGCGAGGGTGTACACGGGCATGTCCGCCCCTCACCGATGCACCTGTGCACACTCGCACAGAGGCTCATGCCGCTGCAGGCTGCTGCCAAGTCCAGGGGACCCAAGAGCTTAGCAGGAAGCTCCTGAGCTACCTCCCTTGGGGTTCTGGAGCCATGGGTCTGCCTTGGCCACTCACTTCCTTGTCAGTTGACTTAAAACGGAGTTGGCAGGTCATGCCACGGTGCGTTCCGCTCGCTCCCTGTGTGCATGCATGCGTGTGTGCATGTGCAGCTGCAGACCTGTGCACACCCAGGCCCAGTTCAGGGCACAGGCTCAATGCCCCCTGTGGAGGCGTAGCAGGAAGTCCTTGCTCCAGGGCTTCTAAAAGCCAAGACTCCCCACGTGGTTCCTCCCACTCGCGAGATTCTGGCCTTCTGGGCTTCTGGGAGCCAGGGAAGGGCAGGAGAGACAGCCAGGGCTCTGTAAGGGGCACATGTGGGGTGCTCCAGGGACTGGGGACGGTGGACTTGCTGGGGGTCCTGCCCTGGCAGAGCAGGTCTCTGGGGCTGAGAAACCTTCTCAGAGTGGGATGGCAGGGTCCTGGGGCTGAGCATGGCACCTCCAGGAGGGGCCGAGGCCTCCTGGAGGTCTCCTGACCCTTCTTCTGTCCTCACAGTTGCTTCAGACTCTCCCTAGCACTGGCCTGGGATCCCAGGAGGCCTGAGCTTGGCCCTGCCTCTCACAGGCTGTGTGGGCTGGAGTCCCCTGGCCTTGGCCTCCTCCTCTGGAAAGTGGGGCACCCGTGGGCAGTGGAATGAGACTTTGGCAGTCCTGCTCTGTGCATATACTGGGCACACTGAGCCCTGGGAGGCTGGGGCCACCTTTCCCTCTAGAATCTGGTTCCATCCTCTCCCTCCTGGGTTTTCTTCCGCTGCAGACTCAACACCCCTTCCGTTGAGTCCTCCTTCATGGCTCTGAAGAATTGTTTTGGGGCCCAGCAGGCAACTTGGAACAGTGGGGAAAGCCCTGGCCTGCCACCGTGGCCTGTGTTCACATGGTTCCTGCTCTGAGCCTATTTGCTCACCTGCAGGGGAGTGTGTGTGTGTTTAATTATAGCACCATGCCAGGATGCCTGGCCACATTAGACTGTAAATCTAAAGACAGAGGTCAAGGCCTCTTTTTACCAGCCCCGAGGTGATTTTCAAATCAGCTTTAGGGTGGATCATACCCCCAAGGGCACCTTGAGCAGGCTCACATGACAGGTTTATAGGCGATTCCTGAGGACAGGAGCCAGGGCAAACAGTTATCATGAGGCTGCCATCCATCACTGTTGCCTGCTGTCCAGTGACGGCCAGTCCTCCTTCCGTCCATCACTGCCGGCACAAGACACCGTCATCACCTTCCCTTGCTCCACCCTGGCCTTGTCCCCCAGTCAGAGCCAGGGCAACCATGGGCCAAGAGGGGAGCTCCTGCCTCAGCCCCCACAGCCCCGCAGCTGATTGAGGCCACACACCTGGGAGTTGCTCTTGAGTCCTTGCTCTCCTCCCCCAAGGCTAGCCCAAGTGCTGCTGACTCAACCTCCTGCCATCTCAGGGGTCTCTCACTCTTCTCCCCTCTGCCACCCATCCCCAGACCACACCCCCACCACCTCTCCCCAGCAATGTGGCAGCACCCCCCTAACTGGTCCCCCCATGTCCAACCCCTCTGTCCACTCAGCAGCCAAAGAGATCTCACAATGCCAGGCAGACTTTCGCATTTTCAGCGCTTCCCTGGCTTCCCATACTCCTGGGCTGATATTTAACTCTAAGATATGGTCTAGGACCTGGACTGGCCTGGCCTCCAAGCCTCAAGCCCTCCATGCTTCCCGTGGTCTAGCCCTTTGCACAGGCTGCTCCAGCCCCACAGGGCCCTTTCCACTGTGACGTCACTCCTCCCCAGCCATGCTGGCCAGATGCTCCCAGAACATGGGGCTCTGCTCATCCTGAGCACATCCCAGAAGGCCAGATCAGTGTTCAAGCATGCTACTTTTGTCTGACTGGTCATCGTGTATTTATTGAGTACCTACTATGTGCCAGGTGCTGCTCCAGGCATGGGACATTCCATAGTGAACAAGAAAGATGAGGAAAGAATGCAGTTCCCAATCTTGCAGGATGACAAATAGTAAAGAAATTGACACCAATGGATATGCTATGGTGGCAGGTCATATTCAAAGACAGTTGTCAGGGATGGTGTCTCTGAGGACATGACAACTTGAGTAGAGACAAATGAAGCAGGAGCAAATGGTGTGGGCATCTGGGGGAAGGGTATTCCTGGCAGAGGGAACAGCAAGTGCAGAGGCTCTGAGTGAGGCACAGATGTGCTTGGCTTGTTTGAGGAAGAGCAAGAGGGCCAGAATGGGCCTCCTGACAGCTCCAGCTCAGAGGGAGAGTTGGCTGGGAGGGGAGGGGCGGAGGCACAGGGTTGAACGCATCCCCTGCCTTGCTCTCCCTTCTCCCGCCTCCTCCCCCAGCTGGGCAGCTCTTCTCTGGGGGACACAGATGGGTGCTTGTCTTGAGAGCCCCCGTCCTCCCCCTGCTCCTCCAAACACTCGCAGTGGGGACAGGAAGTGTCGGCCCTCGCCTTCCAGCTGCCCGGGTGGGACACCACTGAGCTGGGCTGGCCTGCTCAGGGAGGGACAGAGGCCCTATTGAGCCCGTTCCCTGGACCATCAGGGACAATAGCCACACTGAGGACCAGGAACAGCGACCAGCATGCTTGCCCAGGAAGTTGCCAGGCCGCTGCCTGCCCCATCCCCACACCTCCCCTACCCCTCTGGCTTTCTCTTCCAGATACTTCTCTCAGGCTGATAGTCATGTCCAAATGGTCACTTGCCCTTCACCTGCTCCCCAGAGCCCCCTGTCCTGTGCCAGACCCACGCTGGGCCCAGGGAATCAGAGGGGACCCCTACAGGGTCTCTGTCCCTGAGGAGAGGGCAGGGAAGGAGGTGACAGACACATGAGCTGAGAGGGGTGTATCCTAAGTGCTTCCTACAGAGATCCACAAGGTACAGGGGGTCCCTGGAGGGCAGGGGAGATGTCTGCTAGAAGTGCTGGTAGGAAAGGCTCCCTGGAGGAAGAGTCACAGTTCTAAAGAGCTTCCGCAGCCAGGGTTGTGCTTTGAAAGCCCAGCACCCAAGTGGCCCAAGCCTGGCAAAAACTAGCCTCTGTTACATGCCCAGAGGTGTGCAGAAGCAGTGGCCAGGACTTGGACTCTGTCCACTTCTCAAGCCTGTGTGCTGTCTACTCATGGAACTATTTGCATTGGAAGGATCTTTAGGGATCATCTAGGTCAGGAATGCCAACTCAAGTCATGTGTGCCTGCTGCCCCCGGCCATGGCAGGGCAGGCACCACGAAAATCACACCATTCTTGCCTGTCGAGCTTGGATATAGCTGCAGAATCCTTCACACCACAGTAGTTTTGTGGCAAGTTACGAGTGGACACACAGGGAGAAGTATTTGCCTTTCCTGATTTTACTTTATCCCCCCATCATGGACAGATGGGGAAACTGAGACCCAGGCAGGGAAGGGGCTTATCCCAGGTCACAGAGCTTGCTGGTGGCAGTGTGTAGGGACTGGGTCAGGGACAGGAAGGAGGTCAGAAACACCCACCTTTTGCAGTTTAGGCTGTGAACCGTCAGAGACTGGGAATGGGAATGGTTGACTGCCCTGAACAGACCTTCTGTATGGCTTCTCACTGTGAAGAGGGGATCCCCATTCTCCTCTGCCACGACACCCCATTCCTTCATATCTCTCATCACAGCTTTAATGATCTGAATGGGATACTTACTTTTCTTCCGCGCCTGGCTGTAAGTTCATGGGGGCCGGGGTTGCATCTGTCTTGTTAACCACCCTCCTCCAGTGCCTTGTGGGTGCCTAATTCATAGTTGTCGAGGGCACATGTGGAAAGGAAGTAAATGCACGTGGTGATTGGTGCTCCAAAGCCTTCCCTGCTCCCTGGCTGGTTGTTTGGCCTGCAGACAACAAGCGGGATCCCTGGGGGCACCTGGGATCCAGGCATCAAGCTGGTCAGATACATGCCAGTATATAGTAAGCAGCTGGCCTAACCTGGGTAGTCCCTGAGCTCCCTGCAGGGAAACTGAGGCCCAGAGTGCTATAATCATAAGCCAGGAGTCGTGCAGGCAGAGCAGGGAGCTAAGCTGGGGTCAACTGGCTTCCGTCCAGGCTTCTGGGCACCCAATCTTGCCACCAGCCTCCACATCTGTAGCTCAGGGGCTGACTTTTCCCAACAGCTGGGCCCACTGGGAGCTGTGTGTGTTGGTGCCAAGGCAAACATCGGTGGTGGAGGTGGGGGCAGGAGGTGCCTGCAGGCTCTGTGTTCCTTTGCCTTCCTGAACAGACAGGGCTGGAGCCCCTGAGCAGCCCGGCCTCCTGCTCCATGATCATTGTTCCCGGTGATGGTTTCCAGATGCTGAGGAGTCACAGGTTTGGGGCTGGGCCAGGAGAGCCAGGCCAGCCCTCCCCAGTACCCCGCCGCCACTGACACCACCGCCGGTCTTGCTTTTAAAGAGATGGGCCTTTCTCCCCCAATCCAGGCTTTCCCCTCTCAAGCCCAGCAGCCTCACTGTCCTGCAACCAGCCCAGCTCCTGGGGTGAGGAGCCCTGCGCTCCACTCCCAGCTCTGACCCTAACTTCCTGTATGGCTTGAGCAAGTCACTTGCCTTCTCTGTGCCTCAGTTTCCTGGGCTGTAGAATGGGCAGATGGGGACAGCATGGAGGTGACAGTATCTGACTGGACTTTAACAGACTGTGACCAGGATCACTGGGGCGGTGGCTCCCTAGGTGGGTCCCCAGACCAGCAGCAGCTGCACCGCCCAGGCATTTGAGACTCTGGTTCTCAGGCCCTCCCCAGACCTATTGATTCTGAGACTCTGGGGCCAGGGCAGCAGCGTGCAGTGTACCAATGCCCCGATGGTCCTGTGCGTGCTCTCGTGAGCGAAGAAGAGCGTGTGCTCTAGAAGCAGGGGCTCAGGAATCTGGAATCAGAAAGACGAGCACAGCCGTATGGCTTCAGAATGAGCCTTCACTTCCTGCTGGGGAATGTGGACTGGCGCTCCCAGCCCTGTGTGTGGCATGGTTACTGTGCAACAGTCAGCCTGGCTCCCACACCACCGAGTGCTCCTCTGGGACAGGCGCTCCCTGGGGGCAGGTCTGCACCTGGCTGGCGCTCCACCCCATCAGCACTTTAAAGGCGCTGTCTCAGACCCTAGCAAAGAGGCCATGTGTGCACACAGGTTGCGGGGCGTGTGTCCAGCTTGCCTTCAGCAGGTGTAGAGGGGGCCCTAGGGTGGCACTGTGGCACAGAGAGTGACAAGAGGAGCCCTGGGGCAAGGGGACAGAGACCAGAAGGGTCAAGGAGGCTTCCCGGAGGAAGTGCAGCTTCCACTGGATTTGGTTGGGAGGCAGGGTGTGCCAGGTAGTGAGACTGGGGTGTGTAAAGGTGGGTATGAAAACAAGTACCACCAGCCAGCCCCTTCTCCTTCTCCTCCCTTTTCAGGGCACCAGCGGGATTATTGTCCTGTGGGGCTGTCCACAGACAAGGGCAAGGAGGTCAGAGCTCAAGGCCATGTAGGAGGCATGCGGCGTTGCAGCAGTCAGTCAGGCCTGGGTTCAGATCCCAGCTCTGCTGTTTCCTGCCTGTGTGACCTCAGGCAAATCTCTTAACCTCTCTGTGACTTGGATTCCTCATCTGTAGGGGTTACAGGGAGGATGAAATGGCTGGTGGAGGTAACCCCACACATAGCAGGAGCTGTGAGGGTTTTAGAGCCAGGGAACCTGGGGCCCAGGCAGGGGAAGTGACCATTTGGGGACACTCCATCATCCTGCTTCCTGCAGAGCTTCCTGCACAGAACACCCTCGCCTTTGGGGACAGTGGAGAAAGGTCAGTTTGGGAATGTCTTTCCAGCCCCTTGGTGAAGAAGCAGGGTCAGCAGGGGTGGGAAATGTGAGGCTTCCTTCCTCCCTGCGACCCCCCTGTAAAAGTCACATAAGAGCAGCTCTTCCTCTGCAGAGCTCCCCTCCACCCAATTGAAGAACAGGTGCCACAGGTGTCCTTTGTACCTGTCCATGGCCTTCTGGACCTCCGATATCTCGCTCAGCAAGGAGGGAATTGGGCAACAGGGAGAAAGGCCATGGTTCGAAGCCTTCTGCTTATTTGCTTTGTGACCTTGGACAGGTGACTTAACCTCTCTGAGCCTCTATTTCCTCACCTGGAAATGGGATCACAATGAAGCTACCTACAGGTTGTGTGCGTGGCCAGCCCCAGCACGCAGGGGAGACTCAGCACTCTCCACCCCGGTCTGTGGTTGCCACAGTCTCCTAAGTGCTGTGAGCTCCAGCGCTCACCCAGAGATGGAAAGTTTGCTTCTCTTTCTACCCAGATGAGGAGATCGAATCCCAGAGAGAGGAGGTGATTTATGTGAGGGTTTTGCGAGGCTGGAAGTCACGCCCACAGCCTCTTGCCAGGCAGCAGTGGGGGCCTCAGCCCCCAGGCCTCTGCCAGAGTGGCCCCAAACTGCTGACTTCAGCATTTCACTGGCCAGGGCAGATCAGATTTCTTTTCTGGCACTTGGCCACCCTGCACACCCTTCCCCCATCACTATTTTGAGCTGAGCTCCCCTGTCCCCTCCTCCCAGGGCTGTGGCCCTCACACCCAAAGCCTCACTCCAGGCTGAGGCCTTTCCACCTCTTGACCCACCACCTTCCCTCCAGCCAGGGAAGGCTGGGCTGGTCACGGCCATGTCTATCCAGGCCTTGCCAGGGACGCCTTCAGACACAGAGCCAGGGGCCAGCTGCCCTGTGCAAATGGCGCTGCTAGCTCAAGACAGCCGTCCAGGGTGCTCAGCACTGCCCAAGGAGGCGTCCTGGGACTGGACAGAGCCCACGCCATGATCAGCCCTGGCATTGCCACCTCCTACCTGTGCGACCTCCACCCTGCCCTAACTTCTGCTGTCCACCTCACACCTCACCCTTTGCAGGCACTGCCACTCCTGGTGTCCCCTCCAGCTGCCAAAGGATTCTGAGCCCCAGCCTGAGCCTAGTGCTACCATAGAAGTGAGAGGTGTGGAGGGTGCACCTGACCGCAGCACACAGAGAGGCTTGTGGGAAACAAGATGGCAGTAGGGGAATTTCGTTTAAATTTCGGGTGAAATCTCTGAGTTTGGCAAGCTGGAGGTTGGGTCAGGGCAGGACATGACCTAGGGAAGATCATGTCTCTCGCCTTTCCTGGAGCTAAGCGTGTGGTGCAAACCACAGAGTCCCCTGGAAGTTCAGGGAGAGGGCCTTCTCCAGGGCAAGGCGGCGGGTGGGTTCTTATCTCCACACCAGCCAGCCTGGGACTCAGCAGTGGAGTGAGCTCCTGAGCAGTGCATTAGCCCTCTCTGGGCCAGGGAGACCAGGGTGCCCCTGGAGCTTGCTCTTGAAGGGTACATGGCTGTTCACTGGTGAAGTGTTGGGTACAGGGAACAGCAAGAAAAAGGCACAGATGGGCAGCATGTCACTTGCAGGGAGTGACTTTTCTTTATTTGAGTGTAAGTGCTGTGGGTGGAAGGTCAGCTGGGGCCAGAAGGGGAAGGGGCCCGAATGCCTTGCATGTTTCATCTCAGCTCTGCGGTGAGGCCCAAACCTGAAGTGGGCCTTCATTTAAGTATTTGGGGAGATTCTGCCTGGCCCAACTCAGGCGGTGACTGCAGCAGGAGAGAGAGGTGCAGTCGGAAGAAAGGTCTTGCTGAGCAAACGGGACCCAAAGAGGGATGTGCAAGATCTGGAAACAACAAATGGTTTTCAAACTCAATAGTCCCCTCCAGCAATCAGCAAACAGCAGGGTGGCTGCAGATCTTCCATCCACCCACTAAGGCAGCCAGCAATCCCTGTCTCTGCAGTGGCGGAGGAAACCTCTGTCTTTTGCAATCCCTGTGATTCGGAAGCTTTCCACCCCTCTGGACCGGCCCCTCTTCCCCTCCCGCCCCTCCGCTCTGATCCGTGTGGTTTGCTAAGGGAGGAAAGCCAGAGCAGGAAACAGATAACTTAGGGAGTGGCTGTTCATGTGATTAAAATGTCTTTGCTTTCCAAAAAGTTTTGCCTGAGATTACTTCAAATCGCCTGGCTGGGGTGGGATTTGGAGAGGGGGCTTCTTGCTGCCTTCTGGGCAGCAGCGCCTCAGGGCCGGGCACAGGGCTGGAGGCACGGGGTGTTGGGGGGCTTGGCACTTCTCTGGGTCCTGGAGGGGCTCCTTGGCCTCTGTGGGCCCCGTTCCCCCGAATGTCTCTGTCTCCCAGCCCTTTTGGTTTGTTTCTGCATCATGTCTCGCCTCTCCTGGGCACCCTGTCCCCCCTTCTCCTCTTATCTGCTCTGACGGGCGCTCTCTCACTCCCTGCCCCTCATTCCCAACATCGTGTCCTCACTCCCTGTCTCTCCAGGATCTCTCCCTCATCTCTCTGTCCCCCGCTTGTTTTCTCCTCTCTATCTCCCTTCCCTCCTCTCCACACCCCCACTCCATGCCCCCCTCCCCAGGGTTTTCCTGAGGCCTTTTCCTGTCCCTGTGAAAGCTCCCATTGTTCCTTGCACTTTGACAAACCCTAGTGTTGTGGAATCAGGATGGCATTTTTGTGGTGGCTTTGGGCTGGGAACGGGGGTGGGAGGGGTGACAAGAGGCCAGGCCTTCTGGGCCCATGCTGGGCTGCAGCAGGAACCCAGAAGAGGGGAGGGGGCCCTGGGCAAGGAGGCGAGGACGGCTGTGCGCAGACAAGGAGGCCCTTGAGGCTCCAGAGGAAGCCCCGGGTGGCCTCTTGCCGCGTCCTTCCTCCCTCCCAGCATCCTGCAGGCCGCGGCCCAGCCCACCTGTCCCTCTGACCGCCTGCTTCCTCCGGGGCCTCCGTGGAGCCTGCAGCTGCCCAGACCAGGCTGCAGGGACGCAGCCCTTCCACCTGCCTCCCCCGGCCGTGCATGTGGACATGTGAGTGTGGAGGTCTTTGGTTGGTCCCTAAAGCAGTACCACAGAGCACAGAGGGGAAGGAAAAGCCAGGGGCTCAGCACTTGGCAGACTTGCTGCCCCTGTCTCGAGCCTCAGTTTCCTCATCCGTCATTAGGGTTAAGAGTGCTGATTCAATGAGGCCGTGGCAGTGATCAGAGATAATTTCATGTGGCATGCATAGGTCCCATGCCTGTCACTTGGGAGGTCTGTCTGGCCTCTGCCTGAGGGCGTGAATCCAAGTGTGTTTTCACAGGTGTGAGTCCGACTTGGGCTTGAGCCCAGGAGTATGTGGCTAGGGGAGTTCGCGACTGGTGTGGGTCACGGTTGGGGAAAGGGTCACAGGGCTGACTTCTTTGGAAGGCCTTGGACTGAGAGCTCCATGAAGACAGGGCATTCTTCATCTGTCTTGTTTCCATATTTCTGGAATTTTCCACAGAGCCTGGTGCAGAGTGGGTGCTCAGTGTAAATTAGGTGAACAAATGAATATTGAGGTGGTGGCCAGGGTCGGAGGTAAGAGGTGCGGCTGTGTTCCTAGGAGCAGGCTTTTTCTTTAATTTTCTCTCAACCGTCTCACGGAGAGGCCGCACATTCAGTGGAAAGTGTCGTTTTGGAGTCAGCAAATTGGGTTTAAGTTCTGGCTCCATGGCTGTGTGGCCTTGAGCAGGTTGCTTGGCCTCTCTGTACCTCAGTTTGCTCTCCTGTTAAATGAAAGAGCTCTGGAGAGCCAGGTCAGAAAGCGTGTGGCACATTGTAGGTGCTCATTGAATGCTAGTGTCTCCAGCTCCACCAGAGCAGCCCCCTCACATGGAAGATAGAAAAACCAAGGCTCTGGCCGGGCACAGTGGCTCACGCCTATAATCCCCACACTTTGGGAGGCCGAGGCGGGCGTATCACAAGGTCAGGAGATCGAAACCATCCTGGCTAACACAGTGAAACCCCGTCTCTACTAAAAATACAAAAAATTAGCCGGGCGTGGTGGCGGGCACCTATAGTCCCAGCTACTTGGGAGGCCAAGGCAGGAGAATGGCATGGAACTGGGAGGTGGAGCTTGCAGTGAGCGGAGATCACGCCACTGCACTCCAGCCTGGGTGACAGAGCGAGACTCCGTCTCAAAAAAAAGAAAAAAGAAAAAAAAAGAAAAACCAAGTATCTAAGACAGGCGTGGGAGAGCCAGGGCCCAACCTGGACCTCTGACCTCTATCCCCTGTTTACTCCGCACTGCCCCAGGCTCAAGGAGAGACACTAGGGAGAATGACCAGGGACCTTCTGCCTCCTCTGGTAAAGGCCTCCAGAAAGGGCCAGCAAGGCCACACAGAGGATCCTGGGCTGGGGTCGTGAGTCCGTGGTCAGCCCTGCGCCCCCTCTGTGGACTAGTTGCCCCACCCCTGTGGCCTCTGTTTCTACATCAGTGGAAAGTCTTTCTCGAACTCCTGAGACCGGGGCTCTTGCTCTCTGGGAAGGTAGACTGGAGCCCAGGGCCACCTCAGCGGCCGGGCTGCAGGAAAGCACGCAGACTGGGCAGACCGGGCAGGACAGGGGCCAGCAGGCAGCCCATCTGTTCTTTATTTCCTCCCCCTGCTCCTCTTGGCTCCAGCCAGAGCCTCTCAGCTGGACGCACGGTGGGGTCGGCCTTGTGCTCCATGGGAGGGCGGAGCGTGAGTGGGCTGCCAGGCACATGCTGAGTTATGGGCCTCCTGGGAGGCCAGTGACCCTGCCCAGCAGTCAGTCCAACCTCTCATTCTGGAGATGGGAAAACTGAGGCCCAGAGATGGGGAGGGATGCCCCCAGCATGCCAGGACCCATGAGAACAGCGGCCCCTTCCCGTTTCTCACCATCCCGGCTTGGTGGGTCTCTTCTTTGTGCAATCCTGGCATGTTGTGTAGCAATTTAGAAAGTGAGCCCACGTTAGGTGGCTTGGGCTCGGATCTGGACTACCCCATTTCCTGGCAGCGTAGCTTGGGCAAGCCATGTAACCTCTACATGCGTCAGCGTTCCCATCTGAAACCTGGGACTAACCGTACTTAGCTCATGGATGGTTGTCGGGACACAAAGAGTGCCTGGCCCTGACCAAAAATACCCAATGTTGGAGCAACAGTGATTTCTCCATCCCAGGGTTTGGCAGGGCACAGGCCTGCGCCCCTGTGCAGATGGGAGTGGCAAGGCCAGGTCTGGGGGTGAGGCACATACCTCAGGCTGGGAGGTATCGAGGCCTATAGCTGGAACCCATATCCAGAGGGCAGAGGCCGTGCATCCTGGGGCACAGTGCAGCCTGGAGTCTTGGCGTGCAGGGCACAGCCTCAGGCTCTCAGTGCCCACCCTGCTCTCCTCCTGGTCCCTATGATTCTCTGCCTCAACAACCAAAGGCCACAATGTCACCTCTGTGCAAAAGGGACTCATTGTCTAAAAGGGATGGGGAGATCAAGCTTCACCCTAAAGGATCACTCACTCGTGGTGGGACTTCAAGCACCTGGAGGGGAGTGACCAGTCAGGCTGTGGTGTCACGTGACAGTGTGTGGACATGTCTGGCTTCCCTTAAAATGGAAGGAGCAGAAGGGACCCAGGGGTGGGGAGTGCATTCCACAGTTGGGGGGCTAGCTCTATGGACATGAGTATGATCCAACAGAACCAGCAGCCTGAAGCCAGCCAGTGCCCAGGCCCCAGGGTCCACACCTGCAGGGGCAGGAGTGTGGCCACAGCCACCATCTCTGTGGGGTTTCTGTCACCTTGGGAAAGCACAGTGCGCCCCCTAGGGGGCAGGAGGGGCCTGCAGGCCAGGGAGTGGGCTGGCTACCATCTTCTTCCAAGCCATACCCACTCATTAAAGGCAATTCATTCATTAAGACAGAGCATAAGCTGCAGAAGTAAGATCATCAACAGTCCTGTCTCTCAGCCCTTGTGGCTGCTTTCCTGCCAGTCCTGTTCTTGTGCAGCGGTTATCTTCGGTTGCTTATCCTGCTCTCTTTATAAGTATTTTCCCAAACCCCGAACAAAAATCACCATAACTATTTTAGTGGCTTTATTGTCATTCATCCAAAGGGTATAACGTAATTTAGGGAACCCGGGCATTGTTGTTGAATGTTTCGCTCATTCCAGATTTACATTGTCCTAACTCATGCTGTAATGGACATTTTTGAACACCCCTTTTGTCCGCATGTCTGATAATTTCCTTGGGATAGTCGCCCAGAGATGGATTTGCTTAGGATAAGGAATGCACATTTTTTTAAAGTTTGAAGGCTTACAGAAGTTTGAAGTTGTCCTATAGAAATACAGTAGGAAAATATACCTGTTCAGCCCCCACCCCAGCAGCATCTCAGAGTGCCTGTCTCCACACCTGCCTGGTTGGCCTTTACCAGCTGCAGGGGTTGGGAGGACTGTAGAGTTGGAAGTGCCTCCAGAGTCACCAGATCCACCTGCCTGACCAGGGCAAAGGCCCCCTCAGCAGCCTCCCTGATACTTGTTCTCTCAGCCTCTGCTTGCATACCCCCAGTAAAAGGCAGCTCACCACCTCCCAGCCAACCTCAAGAGATTTCACGCAGGGATGGGAAGAAAACACTGAACCATTCTGAAGAAGTGCCCAGAGAGTGTGAGCCTCCTCCACATCTCTTCCGAAGCCGCTGGCTTGCCCGGGGGGCCCCTCCCACTTCCCCGCCCTGCAGCGCTGCCTTCTCTGCTCCTTGGCTTGGCTCCTCCTTCCCACCCCCATACTGGCCACAGCTTCCCACTTCCCAGGCTGCCCTCGTGTGAGGATCCCAGCCTCACTCTGGAAGTCAGAGGATCCTTCCCTCCCCCGAGCTCAGTCAGATTTACTGAGTGTGTCCTTGAGTGAGTCCCCTTGCCTCTCTGGTCCCCAAAGGGCCTGTCTGTGCTACAAGGAGTGGTTTCTGAGCTCCAGTGAGCTTTGCCCAGGCTCCTGGCAGATGTGATCCCCCAGAGGGGTACGTGGCAGGGGCCTGGGTCAGGAGAGCCTGGTCAGGCCTGGCTTCCTTCCCAGCCGGGCGGGTGGTGGCCCCTGCAGTGCTGTCAGCAGTTACCGTCTGTTTCATGCTGAAGTTTATGAGAAGAGGCCGTGCCTTTCTGGGAGGAGGCAGGGGGGTGTGTGGTGAGTAGAGAAGCCTTTGTTCCGTTAGAAATTCCTTCTCCCCTTGGCCCTGCCCTCATTTGTAAGCATAAACAACGTCGGGACTGAACCCTTCCAGGAAATGGCTCCTTGCTGCTAAGAGCTGCCCACAGTCCTTCTTCTCCTCCATCCACTGCCTTTACCCCTGCCCTGTAGGCCACCTCTACCGAGGTCACCGCCAAGGCCTGACACTGGACTGGGCTGAGGGGAGGCCCTAGGAATTTTCTTATAAAATTCCTGCTAGGGGGTCTCTCCCCACCAACACAAGCCTCCATCATGGTGGGGGCAATTTTGGGGGTGGCAGACAGAAGAGGTGGGTCAAGTGTGGCCTTGTGGAAGAGCCTGCTGAGCCTAGCCTGCTGCCCTTCACGCACTGGAAGCACTTTGGCAAGTCCCACCCCTTCCCTGTGCCTCAGTTTCACCATCTGTTAATAGGTTGATAATGTCCCCTGCCCCACAGGATTCCAGGAGAGTTGGCTGGGGGTCTGACGGGCTGTGGAGTCCTAAGCATAAAGCCCAGCACACAGGTGGTGCCACACAAATGCCAGTTCTCTTTCCTCTTTCCTCAACCTCTGCCAGCAGTGTCCCCAGAGCTTCTGCAGCGTGGTCCTTCCATGAGAATTCTAGAAAGCGAAGATGCCTAATGCTGTTTCTTCTTTTGCTTGCCAGTCCATTCCTACCCAGGGATAGAGAGCTACCCAGATATCCCTCCCAGGTTTCCCTCCCATCTCTGGAACCATCCTCCTGGGACTAATGCCTGTGGACCTCAGCCCTAGCCTCGGCAATACCTCAGACACCTCTGCTCCCTCTCCTAGTGCAGGCAACGAAGAAGAGAATCACCCTGAAATAGCTAATGGTGACCGAGCACTTGCAGTGTGCCAACCACTGAGCTGAGACCTTTACACGCATGAATGTGTCAAATCCCAACAGCCCCGGGAGGCAGGTCCTTTATCATCATCCTGGTTTCCAGATGAGGAAACCAAGGCACAGAGAGTTTGAATAACTTGGCGAGGAACTCCCTGGATAGTCACAGGCAGAGCCAGATGTCATTGCAGGCATCTGGCCCTGGAGACCACAATTGGAGCCACATCCCATGCAATGGCGTGTTGGAGCCGGGCCCTCCCAGTGCCTGGCCTGACAGCAGCCGTGGGAATGGTGCGCTGAGGACGTCTGGTCCTGCAGGAGGCTGGGGCCCCATCCCTTGCCTGCCAAGCAGCCCACACGCCCTGACGGACGGCTCCAGACGGCTGCTTTTCTAATTACATGGTGCGTCTGTGCTTCCTGGCTCACCCCTCGCTCTTCTCTTTCATCTTCCTGTTCCCTTCGGTTCTCACTCAGTGTCTTCTTTATCTGTGTGGGTTTTCTTCCCGTTCATTTCTGAAGCAGGGGCTCTGGGAACAAATTCCCAGAGTCCACCTCCAGTCTGGCCCCAGTCCCCACGCTTCACTCTGCCCAGTGTCCTGGAATGACTTGACCCCTCCTTCTGGTACCTTGACCCCTGTCCTTTGCCCCAACTGTGTGAGGCCAGGCACCAGGTCCTGTGAGCTCTCTGAGCTCAGAGGCCTGCAGAACCAGATCCAGAGTGGGCCTGGCTGGTGAGAGTCCCCAAGTTCCCACCTTCGATCAAGGAGTCTCAGACCTCAGCATCAGGGAGGCACCCATGCCTGCCCCCTCATCCCCTCTGAAGACGTAGATGCTTCTGGGGAGACATGGGGGAGTGAGTTCATCCAGTGCTTTATTTCAGATAATGGAAGATGAGGGGTTGTGATAGAGGGGGTGGCTTAGAAGTCACAGGTTCCAGACCCCAGGTGAAGGAGAAGGTAGCACCAGAAACAGTCAGAGGGACATGCACTAACTTGAGATCAACAGAGCTCAGTGTGCCTTCAGAGGCACACGTTGACCCCTCTATTACAAACTGACTGGCCCCGGGCCCTAGCTGCCCACTGAGCACTCCCCTGGGTGTGGCTGACCCCTTTCTCAGATCTGACCAGTGCTGAGGGCAGCCCTGCCCTGGAGCTCAGGCTGAACCTTCTCCCAAGAATGTTACAGCTGCCAGGAAGGCCACTGAGGATCCAAAGACGTTAGGCAGTGGGCCCAGGAGATCAGGGTGGTGTTGGTGTCACTTTCTAACTTTAGATCTGCGCACTCAGCACGTATGTCCCCTCTTAATGTTTTGTCTGAAATTCTAGCAGGCTATCACCAAGTGGTAGTAATGGCGCCTGGGACAAAGAGGCATGATTACTAAAGGAAGAAACTATGTACCAATTTTATATACCACTTTTTGTTCTACATTAATAAATAACAATGGCATTAATATTCCTGTTTTGTCTTCTGTGTGCCAGGCACTGTTCTAAATGTTTTGCATTTACTCCTCAGCTCATTTAATCCTCAGAACAGTCTTATATGGTAGTTACTATCCTTATCCTTGTGAAGTAACTTGCCCAAGATCACAGAGCTGGGATCTGGATCCAGAGCGTGTGCCCTTAACCATTATGCACCACTTCATAAATGGGCAGTTCCCCAAGGAAAGTTACTATGGCAACATCATCTCATAGCCCAGCACTTCTTTAACGTAATGGCATATGAATTCTCTGGGGCTCTTGTTAAAATGCAGTTCTGATTCTGCAGATCCAAGGTGGGGCTCCAGACTCTACATTTCTAACAAGCTGGTGGTGCTGTCGCTGTTGGTCCGGGGACCACACTTTGAATAACCACTGTGGAGAGCCTGCATTTAAGCCTCTCCAACTCAAAGCCTGCGAGGGCCTAGTAGAGAACGTAAATTCAGCTCTAGTTGGTGGGAGCAGAGGTGATGTGGAGGAAGCACGTGCATGCAAGCTGATGGGGCAGCCACTCCTTAACCTCAACCAGCAAGGATTCTAGACCAGTGTGGTCGTATTTCTGTGTGAAATCTCCCATTTGCAAATATTAGGGTAACTCATTCAACTTTTAAGAACACTTGCAGCTTGCACGTGAATGTTCATAATAGCATTATTCATAATAGTCAAACATTAGAAACAGCCCCAGTGTCTATCATCTAATAAATGGGGTAATAAAGCATGGCATATCCATACAGTGGAATATTATTTGGCAACAGAAAGGATTGAAGTGCTGACATATGCTGTAGCATGAACAAACCTTGAAAACATGACACTAAGTGAAGCCAGACACAAAAGGACAAATGTTGTATGTTTCTACTTATATTAAATACCTAGAATGGGGAAATCCGGACAGACAGAAAGTACACTAGTGGCTGCCTAGGGCTGTGTGGGATAAGGAAGTGGGAGTAGGATGGGGAAGGACTATTACTGGGTATAGGGCTACTTTTGGGGGGTCAATAAAAATATTCTAAAATTAGATTGTGGTGATGACTGTATACTCTGTGAATTTACTTAAAACCAATTGATTTGTCCACTTTAAATGGGTAAACTGTAAGATACATGAATTATATCAGCAAAGCTGTTAAAATAACACTGTGTGGGAGATAGCTAGTTTCTTTCATATATAAAATGCAGTTACAAATCAACAAGAAAAATATTAGGCTATTCCTGCATGAAAAAAGAATCACAAAAAGTATGAACAATTAGTTCACAAAGGAAACACAAGTGAGTCTTAAATGCATGGCAAATTCACTCTTGCTCATAATAAAAGACATACAAGTCAAAGCTCCTCTGAGAAGATTTTCTACCTTTTAGATTGGTGATAATGAAAACTCTGTTGATGCTGATATGGAATGTTAAGTTGGGATACCTGCAGTATGTGGGAAGAAGGGGCAGTGGCAATTTGCTCTTTAAAAATTAGTGGTGCTCATACCCATTGACCCAACAATTTCACTTCTATATTCACAAATACACTCACACATGTGCAAAATGATACATATATGAAGTTATTCATTATAGCATTGTTTGTAATAATGGGAGAACAGAAACAAGCTAGATGTTCTAAAATAGTAACTGGTCAATGCACTACGGAGCTTGCATGGACTTATATTGTGTGCACCTGTTAAACAGAATGCAGTAGCTCTATTTGTAGTTATGTAGGGAAAACTCTAAGATGTATTATTCAGTAAAAAAAAACAGTAGCCAGGCACAGCTGTATGCACCTACGTAGCCCCAGCTACTCAGGTGGCTGAGGCAGGAGGATCCCTTGAGCCCAGGAGTTTGAGTCCAGCCTGGCCAATATATCGAGACCCTGTCTCGAAAAAATAAAATAAGATAAATCTTTAGAATGGAAGATGCAGAACCAGGAAGATGCAGAACCAGATGGATAATCTGTTTCCATTTTCATGAGGGAAAAGAATGTATGTACAAATGTGCATGTCATATGCATCTGTAAATGCAGGGCCCGCCTTTGGAGTGGTGTGAGGGAATTTAGATTGCCTCCTAGTAGGGGAGCTGACTGGGTGCAGGGAGGAGGAAGACTCATTGGCACTGCCACCAGTTTCCGTGCTTGTATTGCCTCTTCAATGACCCTTTAAAGCACACTGCTGGGTAGGCCAAAGAGTGCCTGTGTGCAGGCCCATGAGACCAGCTGCCCTTGATGACGTGTGAGTTAAGGAAGTAATTTCCAGCCACCATTGAGTACTTTACCCCTTAAATCTAGAAGAGACGTGCGCCATCTCCTCTGTTTTTTCACCATCTCCTCTGTTTTCTGTTCCCTATGTGCCTCCCAGCCTTCGGATTCCCGTCTGTGCTCTGGGGATGACCCTGGTATTATCTAGACTGGGGACAAAAGGTGCCTGCACACATGGACACAGGACATGAAGACTGAGGCGGAGGCCAGGGGAACCCTGTGGGGCATCATCTTGGCCTTTGGACTCCAATCCCCTGTGTTTGCTTCCTGCCCTGTAGGCACGCCCCAAAGGCGAGGGCCTGACTCCATACCAGGGCAAAAAGCGCTGCTTCGGCGAGTACAAGTGTCCCAAGTGCAAGAGAAAATGGATGAGCGGGAACTCCTGGGCCAACATGGGGCAGGAGTGCATCAAGTGCCACATCAACGTGTATCCACACAAGCAGGTGAGCCGGGCAGGCTGGGGCCTTCTCAGAAGGACCGCGGGAGGGCAACTTTTCCCTTACCGGACCTCAGTTTACTCCCTCCTACAAGGGAGATCTCTCTAAGTTGACCCTTTCTTTCCTTGTCTCATCTGAAATGGGAGGGAAGGGAAGGGAAGGAGGATGATGGGGCAACTGCACCAAGATCTTGAGACCAGAGAACCCCGGGGAATTGTAAAACTAGTGAACAGGGTGTGCTGTTGTGAGACAGAGATGTGCGGACAGCAGGAAGCAGCAGAAAACTCAAATTTCCTTCCTTGATCCATCCAGTCGGCCAGTGTCAACAGGGTGGCTGTGTGCACCAGGCCCGGGCATGTGGGAGGGGTAGGGCCAGCTCCTCCTAGGAAGGTCTTACCTCAGGCAGCTGCACAGGGAAAGCCACTCAGAGGAGCTGATGCTGACTTGGGGACCTGGAGGATGGGGGGAAGCTAGGCCTATCACAAGTGGGGGGCTGGCCATCCTAGGAAGGGGGCACAGCAGGTGCAAATGCCCTGAGGCTGTAAGGACTTGGGGTGCTTCAGGCCCACGGTTCAGTGAAAGCGCAGGAGAGGGCAGCAAGAGGCTTGGGGTAGAGGGCTAGATGGGGCAGTCACAGAGCCCTGGGGGCACTCGAGGGACCCAAGAGCAGCAGGGCTTTCAGATTCATTTTAAGTCAGTTACTCTGGTTGTGTGCAGAGATTGAGTGTGGAAACCAGTGGGAAAGCCAATAGCATAGCCTCATGTGAGCTGGGAGGGGACTGAACTCTGGAGGTGGCTCTGGAGCTGGATGTGACACCAAGCATCACCAGATTGGTGGTGGAATGTGGGGGAAGAACAGGAGCCTAGGAGAACAGTCCCACCCCAGGCAGGCTGGAGCACCTGAATGGATAGAGGAGGTCGTTCCTGAACTGGGCAGCCTGGGCAGGACACAGATGTTGGAAATGAAACCAGGGGTCCTCTGATACAGGTTACATTTGAGATGTTTGCAAAAATCCAGTTAGAGATGTCAAGAAGGCAGTTAGATCTGTAATTCTGAAGCTCATGTGAGAAGTCAAGATGGCCCAAATGTAAGTGGGTGTCATCAACCTAAACGTAGTAGGGAATGGATTTGAGTTCCTGCAGAAAGAATGTAGACAGAGTAGAGAAGGGATTCCCTAGACCAAGTGATGCTGAATCCCAGTGTTTGATGGTCAGATAGAGGAGGAAGACCCAGTAAGGAGAAGGAGAACCAGGGGGTGTGGAGTCCTAGAAGCCTGGGGTGGGGTCGGGAGAGTGCTGTTGGAGGCTTGGCTGGTGGTTGGTGCTCAAATGTCAGGTATAGAGACCACAGAGGAGTGCCTTAGAAATCTGGCAATAAGGCGATGGTCCTCAAATTTTACAAAGCAAAACAAAAGCATTACTTTTACATGGGGAACTTGAACTACAACCAAGGTTTGAGAAGCACAGAAGCCCGGCCAGTCAGGCATGAGGGTGAGAGTGGAGGTGCTGATTTGTAGCTGGCCTGAAAGTCAAGGCAGTGTCCATGGAGCAGTGTTAGGGGAGGCTGGTGTGGATCTGGCTGCAGAGGGAATTGCCTCATTGTCCACTCTCTTGAGGAGAGTTTGATTGTTGAGAGAATCACAGCAGTGGCCGCAACTGGGAAGGAGCCCTTGGGCTGGGTGTTGTGGAGATAGTAGAGCTTGGAGCCCAGTGCAGTCTGGTGAGAATGATCTAGAAGACAGCAAAGGGCTGATGGTGCAGGGGCAAAACGGGGGATGCTTCACCCATCGGCACAGGAGGGAGGGAGAAGAGGGGGTAATTAGGAAGTTTCATGGGTTGGATGGTGCAAAGAAGAACCTCACATCCAAGGCTTCTGTTTTCTCAGTGAATGGGAGACAAGCGGGCTGGGGCGGGCTTGAGGAAGGATGAGCAAGGAAGCAGCCTGCTAGGGAAAGCTGGCTGGACCACCCAGCCGCATCCCAGGCCCAGGGAGGTGTGCAATCCTAATGCAGTGGCAGGCATCAGCCTAGTTCCGTGACTTGCTCCAGCACAGCTCGCCTGGCAGGTGCAGGCCAGGCCTGGTGTACGGAGGGTCCACGGGGCAAAGGTTGGCTGGGCGAGCACTCCAGAGGGCAGATGGTTGGGGGGTGGGCCTATTTGTAAAAGTATGATGACCGTGCTTCATCGTGGGGCATCGGCAGGGAAGGGAAGCTAGACGGGACCGGTGGAGAGGGAGGCCGGGTGGGCCTGTGGACTGGGTGGAGTCTGGGAGCCAGTGGAATGGAAGGAGAGAACGAGGGGGCAGAGATGGGTGGTTTCTGAAGAAGCCCAAGTCTAGGGTGTGGCTGAGGGGTGGTAGGAGGGAAAGGTCACTGTCGATGAGGTAGTGGGGGATGGAGGAGCCAGGGGTGGGATGGGCCATCCATGTGTACTGAGTCACCGCAAAGGACAAGCAGACAGAGGAGGCAGGAGGGGAGAGCGCTCCGGGAGCTACTGGGGGAAGGCTACCCTGAGGGAGAGATGTAAGACAGCTCTGATGGGGTAGAAGGTCAGTAGACCGGGGGCCCGGAGGATAGCTTGGAGCCTGGAAGGGCAGATAAGTGGCCTGGGAGGGAGCAGGGGAGGAGGGAAGGCAGATAATGGTGGCTGGCTGGGGGCAGGAGTCAGGAACAGCCCAGTTTCTGCAGGGCCTCAGATGTATGGGGGCTGCTGGGGTCTGTGCTGACAGTCCTGGGGGCTGGGTCCTTACGACCCCCACTGTGACTTAAGCAGAGAGACAGGGCCCAGCCTGTGCACCAAAGCCCCACAGGAACCCAGTCTCCGCAGTGGCTCCAGCCCTCAGCCCCTGCCCCGATACTGCCCCAGCTTCTGGCTGGGCAGGGCTCCTCACCATGCCCCTTCCACAATGCCAGGCCCATTCCTGGCTTGTGTCACCATCCCCAAGCTGGCAACGGCCCCACCTGCCTCGCCATCTCCATCCTGCCAAGCTCAGTCCCAGCACAGCTCCCTGACCACCTGTCCCCCATCTCCACATTCAGGATCAGCTCTCCCAGGACCCAATCTAAAGGATCCCTCAAGAGTGTGTGGCTGGGCCCTTCCCCTCTTCCAGTCATTAGGCCACTGTTGAGCACCTACTGTGTGCACTGGGGACACTGAGGCCCCAAAAGGAGACAGGACTTGAGTAGTCAAGTGACCAGTGACCAGTCAGCTGGTGTCAAGGGGCCCTGGAACTCAGGTCTCCCACCGCCCAGGGCTCTATCTCCTCTCCTGAGCTCCCAAGCTGGGAGGGGGTATGAGAGTGGTGCCTCTCTATCCCCCAGCTGTCGGGAGCCTTTGAAGAGCCCAGCGGCGGTGCTCCCCATGTTGCCCCGCGGTGGAGAGGGCTGGTTTATTTCTCCTGCCCCACAGAGCCCTGACCTGTGTGGCCTCCGTCTCTGGAGAACCCCCCACTTCCCCACTCTCCTGGCCGCCACATCTGCTTCCTGTCGGCCTCCAGCTGCAGCTCCCCCTACCGACTCCGGTCCCCTCAAGAAGAAAACACCACTGGGCCTTGCCTTGCTGCAGGGAGTGGGGGAGGCCCTCCACCACAGTCAGCCCCAGCTGCAGAGTGTTTTCCGTCTGCCGAGGGGAATGTCTTGACAGCTTCCCCAGGCTCCTCGCCCAGTGGCAGGCCAAGCAGGGCTGAGCAGTCGAGCCAGAGCCCGTGCCCACAGAGGGAACTCCCACCATGGGGTCATGGCCAAGGAGGGGGCACAGCTCAGATGAGCCCAGGAGGGTGCTGGCAAGGATGTTTCAAGATCATTTCACCCGGGACTTCGCTGTTTCCCCTGCCCCCATGCTGCCCCTAACCCTATATAACACATGATACCAATACTGGCCAACATTTTGAATGCTCTCTATGTGCCAGGCACTGTTCTAATCCCTTTGCATAGACTAATTTACTCTTCACAGCAACCCTATCATGTAGAGTTAGCCTACAGACTTAGCCCCCATTTTATGGAGGAGAAAATTGAGTCCCAGAGAAGTTAAGTGATTTGCTAAAGGTCACACAGCAATCACTAAGTCTTCTGGAGCTTTTTATGGTTATAAAATACTTTAAGACAATCATCGCAGCTGGGCACAGTGGCTCATACCTGTAGTCCCAGCACTTTGGGAGGCCAAGGTGGGAGGATTGCTTGAGCCCAGGAGTTCAAGATGAGCCTGGTCAATATAGTGAGACCTCGTCTCTATAAAAAAATTTTTTTTAAACAATTAGCCAGGTATGGTGGTGCATGCCTGTGGTCCCAGCTACTTGGAAGGCTAAGGTGGGAGGATTCACTGCACTCCAGCCTATGTGAGAGTGACCCTGTCTCTAAAAAAGACAGTCAGCCAGGCGCAGTGGCTGATGCCTGTAATCCCAATACTTTGGGAGGCCAAAGTGGGTGGATCACTTGAGGTCAGGAGCTCAAGACCAGCCTGGCCAACACAGCGAAACCCCGTCTCTACTAAAACTACAAAAATTAGATGGATGGTGGTGTGTGCACCTGTAATCCCAGCTACTTGGGAGGCTGAGGCAGGAGAATCACTCGAACCCAGGAGACAGAGGTTGCTGTGAGCCGAGATAGCATCACTGCACTCCAGCCTAGGCAACAGAAATGAGACTCTGTCTGAAAAAATAAAAATAAATAAAAAATAAAAATAAGACAGTCATCTTATTTACTTCTCTATCACACAGACACACACACACACACACACACACACACACACACACACTAGGAAAAAGTCAGTGAATGTTATTAACCTCTCACCCAGATCCCAAAAGGGCAAGTTGAGGTTGTGGAGGAGAAAGATCCTTCCCAACAGCCCTTAGCTGATAGGCGGCAGAGCTGGCATGCAAAGCTCTGTCTATCTGACTTTGGTGATATCATGTCATATGGAGACGTTGCAGAAGACACCAGACACAGAGTTTTCCAGAACAGTCTTCAAAACAAGCTGGCAGTGACCCCTTCAGTCTCCATGGAGGTTCTGCCCTCAGTCCTGGGCCTGCAAAACCTCTGTCAGCCCCAGAGATGAAGACTCAGAAGGCAGATGCCAGTCAGGGTGGGTGCAGCTGGCAGGTGCCAGTGAATTCCCAGGGGAGAGCGCTGTGCCTGTGAAGACACGTTCCCCTCCATCAAACACAGGAGGGTGCTGCCCTGGGGACAGAAAGCCAGGGACTCAGACGGGCTGGGAGGGAGTGCTGCAGTCTGGGGTGGGCACTGGTCACAAGCTGGCCCTGAGCCCCAATACAGTGTAGCCAGTGGGGCCAGCTGCAGGCGGTAGGCAGTATGTCCCTGCAGTGCAGGGCTTGGAAACAGCATGTGTGGCTTTCCAGCCACCCTACCTACCACCTCCTCACTGCAGGCCCCAGGGATGTCCCTAACGTCTTGGAGCCTCAGTTGCCTCATCTGTGGAAACTCCCTTCCCCATATATCTGTGACCTGTTTCCTCCCTGTGCCACTCACAGGGAGGTGGTGACATTAGGTGGCGACATTAGGTGGCCTGACTTAGGTGGCAGTACTTTGCCACATAATGTGTAAGCCATGGGGAGTGAGGGTTGTGTGGGGCCTGCTGAGTCTGGCCTTTTTGGCCTGTCCTGGAAGACTGGGTCCAGGAAGAGGCCCTGGCCAGTCAAGGGGGTGGGGGCTGCAAACCAGCTTTGTTTTGGTGTGCTGGAGGGGACACTTCACGACTGTACTGATCAGACCGTCCTTTGGGAGCCAAGCAGAGTCTGTGTGGCTGGGATCTCCAGGATGAGGTGACAGGGACCCAGATTCTAACTCAAGGTGGGAAGTCTTCTTACAGTGCAGGCAGTAAACTGAGCGGTGGGCTCTGCCAGCAGGCAGCTCTCCAGCCCTGAGGGCACCCAAGCCCCAGATGGAGGAGCTGTTGGAGGTCTCCCTGGGACGTCCAGGAAAGCAGGGAACGTGCCCTTCCTAGGTCCTTTCACCTTGGGATCTTGGCTTAATTTTGATAGCCCTCCACCAGCTGGTGTCCCCCTCCCACCGATAAGACAAACGACAGACAGCTTCTGCATGCCGGGCTGTTTGTATTCATTATCTCCATTGAGTTGTCTGGTGAGAACAAGCCCATGAGAAAGCTGTTATCAGCATCCCTGTTCACAGATGGGAGCATGGAGACCAGAGGGGACAGGTGGCCTGCCCAAGGTCACACAGCTCTTAGGTAGCAGAGCCGGCATTCGAGCCCAGGTCTGACAGGAAGTCCAACTCCTCTCTTCCCTGGCCAGGATGAAAGCTGGACAGGGAAGCCAGTCACCTGAAAGCCTCTTGTGATGTGGTTGACGTGCCTGTCTTTCCCTCCAGGCCTTGGCTTTGTGACTTTAAGCCTGGGAGCACAGGGATGGGTTTTATGACCCCTGGGCCAGGGGCAGAAGGGTGGTCCCTGGATCAGAACCCTCCCACCACAGTCTCCCCACCTGCCTTCTAGAACCTTCTGACTCTTCCATTCCCAGACCGCTCTGAGTGTCCTCTTGGGGCCAAGACTGTGGATTGGGTGGAGAAGCCAGTATACTACTTTTGAGCCATTCACAGCCTGGCCAGGGGGACAGAGCACACCCTCTGCTGCCCTCCCCTGTCATCCGGGCCATGGTCTGCAGTCCAGGTTCTGCCCCCTCTCCTGGGCATGTGGCCCCAGGCTGGCCCTGACCAGCTTCCTGTGAGCCCCCCATGTCCATGCAGGGGACCCTTCTGCAGGCAGGGGCTCCAGCTGAACAGAAGGCAGAATCCCCGTGAGCTGGCCAAGAAAGCATCCACTCAGGAGCTCTTCGTCATAGCCTCCATAAATTCTCCAGGGAAACAAGTCTTCGCCAGCTTTGGAGAGTCAGGAGGGGAGGAAAAGAGCGAGCAGGGAAGCTCCCTCTCTAATAGAAATGTGCTCGTCTGTGCCTTCCGCTGTCCAGTTCACACACTCCCAGACGTCTCTCTGGATCCTCCCAGTCCCCTGCAAATGAGGCACTGTGAATGGCCCACTTCACAGATATGGAAACGGAGGCTCCCTGCGATCACCCAGTGAGTGTGTGGCAGGACAGGCCCGGCAAGTCACCTCCCTTCTCTGGGCCTCAGGTTCCTTGTTGGAAAACTGAGGTTTCATTCATGCAGCCTCAACAAATAGGGCACTGGGCCGGCCCTGAGATGTGGGGGTCAATCAACACTCATGGAGCTCACTCACCACAAGCCCGAAGCACTGTGACTGTGTCCGGGTTAGGCTTCCCTTGAGTTCTGAGGCCACACAAGCAGGGCTGCGAGTGGAGAGTGGCCAGGGAAGAGGCGCCGGATGCTGGGGTCGGGAGATGTGGGTCCAGGCCTCCGTTGCTGTGGGCCTGGGTTTCCTCATCTGACAGGCTGCACCCGTGTCCTGCCTCTAACCTGGACTCACGTGAACTTCAGGTGCTGGCTCCTCAGGCAGCACTCAGGGCAGAGCAGAGCAGTGCACATGGCCAGGGTGCCAGGTACAAGGCCCCTCCACAGCCCTGGCCCAGCCTAGGGCCCCACCTGTGTGCCCTAGGACTCAGACGCCTGCATGCGGGCTCAGGAGGAGGGCCCCGGCACCGTGGCTGAAACAACCTGTGACCACAGGCGCCCTCTCCCCACCCCTCATCGGGTGTGTGTCTCTCCCTCACTGTGTCTGTCAGTCTCTGTCTCTGCAGAGGTGTGCCTCTCTGTCTGGTCCCCTCCCTGTGTACCTGTCTCACCTGTCTGTCTCTGTGTGTCTCTCCCTGTCTGTCTCTGTGTTTCTGTCTTTCTCTCCCCTCACTCCCCTGGGCCCCTTCCTCCTTCTCTCTGCAGAGACCCCTGGAGAAGCCCGACGGCCTGGACGTGTCCGACCAGAGCAAGGAGCACCCGCAGCACCTCTGCGAGAAGTGCAAGGTCCTGGGCTACTACTGCCGTCGCGTGCAGTGACGGGCTGCCCGCCCGCACCCAGAGCCACCCCCCGCCAGCCCGAGGAGACGCTGCTTCCCTGTGCTACTCCGAGGGGCTGCGTGTCGCCCTGTGCATGGGGTGCCCTCGCAGGCCTGCGGGGCTGGGCCGGGGGCTCTTAGCGTCCTTGTCTTGTGTGTGTTGACAAACAGTGTTACTGACATTGCTGCCCCCCACAGGCCAGGGAAAGCAGGGAGTCTGGGGCTTTTTGCAGGCGGGCCTGGGGTCTCAGTGGAGGGGACAAAGGCAAGCAAAAGCCCATGTCCAGGAGCCCTGGGTGTCCCCACAGGCTCGCCTCTGAGAGCCTCTTTGGGGTGAGCAGCCTTGTATTGGCCACAGGTGCACTAAATTGACTGTGAATCCCAAACCTCCCCAGACCAGCCAGGCCGCCTGCCCCCACCCAGAACCTTCCGGTTTGCCCTGTATGGAAAGCCACTCTCAGAAATCCCTCTTTCCTGAGTCAGCAATCGTGGCAAGGGGACATGTGTTCCAACAGCGGCTGGGGAGTGGACCTCTCTGTCCCTTGCCCACCTTAAGCCCCAAATCCAGACCCCCTCTGACATCACTGGCATTGCACCTGGGTGTGCCCCCCTCCCCACGCTATGGACCCAGATAGGAGGGGTTAGGCATGGGGGAGGCACAGAATGCTGGAGAGATGCGTCCTGGTGAACGTGGGGCAGCCCCTCCCACGACCCCCACCAGACTGCCTTAGGTTTTGTCAGCCCCACTCCCTTTCCTTCCCCTCTGCCTCCCACCCACTCTGGGGGTCCACATCAAGATAGCTGGGCCCAGTGTGGAAGCCCAGCG